>NC_000006.12:16120606-16272121 GCF_000001405.40 Homo sapiens | reverse complement strand
TCCTGCCTCAGCCTCCCTAGTAGCTGGTATTACAGGCACACGCCCCCACTGCCTGGCTAATTTTTGTATTTTTAGTAGAGATGGGGTTTCACCAAGTTGGCCAGGCTGGTCTCAAACTCCTGACCTCAGGTGATCTGCCCACTTTGGCCTCCCAAAGTGCTGCAATTACAGGTGTGAGGCACCGCACCCAGCCTAAGAGTGGTTTGACAGCATGGGAAAAATGCTTAAATGCTTTCAGTATAATGTTGGGAGAAATAGAAAGATCTCAATTTTGTTATTAAAAAAAGTGTATGTGTGTATGAAAAAATACACCAAAATGCTAACAGATGATGTCTAGGTGAAGAGATGATCAAACTTTTTTTTGTTTCTTCTTTAATCTTTTCTAGATTTTATACTAGAAAGTGTGTTACTTTTATAATTATAATGGGGGCAGGAGTGTGTAGTTTTGTTTTTTATAGTGCGAGGAACAGCATGAGCTCTGTCCCTGACAGAGAACCTAACAGGAGCCTAAGAAGCAGGGCGCGAGCTCCAGTTCTTCCCAAGTGGCTGACTTGCTAAACAACCAAACAAAACCACAAAAACTTTAGAGAAGCTACTCTAAGCCCACCACACATTTTGTTTTCTTTTTTCTTTTTGAGACAGGGTCTCACTCTTGTCTCCCAGACGGGAGTGCAATGGCACAAACATGGCTCGCCGCAGCCTGAACTTCCCAGGCTCAAGCGATTCTCCTGCCTCAGCCTCCCAAGCAGCTGGGATTACAGGTATGTGCCACCACGCCTAGCTAATTTTTGTATTTTCTGTAGAGACAGAGTTTCGCCTTGTTGCCTAGGCTGGTCTCAAGCTCCTGAGCTCAAGCAATCTGCCTGCCTCAGCCTCCCAAAGTGCTGGGATTACAGGCATGAGCCACTGCGCCCGGCCACAATTTCATTTTCAATGTGGATTTCTTTTCCCCAATCTGGCGCCACCTGCGAACCATTTTATTTTTAAGGGGCTACTTTAGATAAAATAGATTAATTCAAGTCAGCTCACCATAGACGTACCAGGTACAACCCGGTAGAGTCAAAGTAAGTTCTAGTTACTTATTTAATTATTTTTAAAGCAGAGATAGGGCCTTGCTATGTTGCCCAGGCTGGTCTCTAACTCCTGGCCTCAAGTAATCCCCCCACCTCTGCCTCCCAAAGTGCTGGGATTACAGGTATGAGCCACCTCAACTGGCCAAAGTCAGCTTAAAAACATCAAGAAGGCTGACGCCGCTTTAGTAACCCAGAAGCTTGTGCAAATGTCTCTCCATCCCATCAGCTACCTGTGTGGCTGCTGAATCTGTCCATGGTCCAAATGTGGTCACTGCTACTGTCTGGAAAAACCCAAAGTGATTATGAAATGCCTCAACCATGAGGGACAGCACAGCAAGAATGCTTCCAGGAGGACGGGGGAGTTTCCATTGGCAGGAACAAAAAGCTGTCAATTCAAGTTTGAAATCAAGAAGGGCAAAATAAGGGAAAAGAGGAAAAGACCAAATCAGAAATGAGAATATGACAGGAGTGTGGTCAGGCTTTAGTGAAGTCCCCGGTGTGCCCTCGAGCAGCCTCTGGGAATGGGGTGTGATAACAGGGGCCAGGAAGCAGCTGGTCAGGGTGATTAAGTGAGGAGTCTACTTTATCTTGTCATGAAGCACCTTGGGTGTGGAGCGGATACAGGACTGTCAGAATGGGACTGTGCGTAGCAGCACAGCAGGCTCAGTCACCCAGGCAGTTCATGCAGGTTCATTTCTTGGGCAGCCATGACAACATGGAAGCAATGAACCCTTGTCCAGAGCACTGAGGCAGGCAGATGGAGGTTTCTGATAGGCAACCCCTCTTCCTAGGGAAGCCAAGCATGTTTTGGGCTCCCCCATGCTCTGGAAGGCAACAATTCTGTGTCAAGGAGAGGTTGAAGGTCATGGAAAAGACATAAAAAGTGGCCAAGCCAAGACTTCAAGTACTTTTGTACCATTTTTTAAAAAGTTGGTATGGTCTGAATGTTTACGTCCCTCCAAAATTAAAGTGTTGAAATCTTTATTCCCAAGGTGGTGATATTAGCAGGTGGGGATTTGGGGAGGTGAATTAGGTAGGTCATGGGGGCAGAGCCCCCAACAATGGGATTAGTGGCCGTCTAAGAGAGGACTGAGAGAGATCCACATGAGGTGACAATGAAAAGATGGCCATCTATCTATGAGCCAGGAAGCCGGCCCTCACCAGATACCGAATCTGCCTTGATACTGGACTTCCCAGCCTTCAGAACTGTGAAAATAAACTTCTGATTTGTATTATTTATTTATTTATTTTTGAGACAGGGTCTCACTTTGTCACCCAGGCTGGAGTGCAATGGCGCAATCACAGCTCATTGTAACCTCAACTTCCCAGGCTCAGGTGATCCTCCCACCTCAGCCTCCCGAGTAGCTGGGACTACAGGCATGTGACACCACGCCCAGCTAATTTTTTGTATTTTTAGTAGAGATGGGGTTTCTCCATGTTGGCCAGGCTGGTCTCAAACTCCTGGGCTCACGCAATCTGCCTGTCTTGGCCTCCCAAAGTGGTAGGATTACAGGTATGAGCCACCACACCAGGCCAACTTCTGATTTTTATAATATAAGCTATTCAGTTTATGGTATCTTGTTATTGCAGCCTGAACAGAACTGATGACAAAAGGTCTCTGGGCAAAAATAAAAACAAAAACTGCTTTGCCCCAATTTTTCCAGCTTTCCTTTAGGCCTCAACATCTATGGCAAAATAAGTTCGGAAAGATCTGGGGTCGAATGCTAGACCTCCCTCATTACTGGGTACTTTTGAGCAAATCACTTCAACCAGAGTCTCCATTTATCCTGCTATAAAATGGGGGTGGATGTACCCACTTTTAGTCCTTAAAAGGTTTACAAAGAAAGTTCTCTCAAATTCTTAGCACAGGGCCCAGCTCTTGGTGGTGCTTTATAAATGTTAGTCCCTCCATTTAAAAGTACTTTCTGTATATTGCTCCTTTACCCATTCTTTTTAGTTTTTTTGTAATTGTGGTCAAATACACATAAAATTTACTAGGTGTAAATTTTACACATAGAAAACAGAAATAAAATTTTTGTTTTTTAAATAATTTTTATTTTTTTCGTGAAGGGACTTAGTGCCACTGAACTGTACACCTAAAAATAAATAAAAAATTTAAATTTATTTAAAATTTTTAATTTAAAATAATTCATATTTATTTTAAATTTATGTAATATAAAATTTGTTAGTAAATAAGTTTTTAGGTGTACAGTTCAGTGGCATTGAGTACATTCACACTGTTGTACAACCATCACCATTATCCATCTCTGGAACTTTTTAATCATCTCAAACTGAAATTCTGTACCCATTAAACAGTAACCACTTTTTACTGGTTTTTCTGGGGTCCTCTTGCAAGAAAAATCCTTTCCATAGGATGATAAAAGGCAAGGGTTGGCAAACAGGCAGCAGGCGGCTAGATTTGGCCCACAGGCTGTGATGTGCCAACCCCTAACATAAAAAGAGAAATATCGGCAGGCGCGGTGGCTCACGCCTGTAATCCCAACACTTTGGGAGGCTGAGACAGGTGTTATCACCTGAGGTCAGGAGTTCGAGACCAGCCTGGCCAATATGGCAAAACCTCGTCTCTACTAAAGATACAAAAATTAACCAGGTGTGCTACTCAGGAGAATCACTTGAACCTGGGAGGCGGAGACTGCAGTTAGCCAAGATCGTGCCACCACACTCCAGCCTGGGCAACAGAGTGAGAGTCCATCTCAACAACAACAAAAAAGAGGAGTATCAACCCCAGTGACTGTTCCCAAGCACGTGGAAAATGTCCCACTACCTGCCCATGGAAAAATAGTTGCTATCCAGGCAACAGCCATGTTAAACTGAGTTTATTATGTGACTCTTCAGAGAGAACATCACCTTTGTAGCTTTCAGCCATGGTTCCAGAAAGTGGGTGAATACAGAAAATCCAGGGAACACGGCCTGAGAGGTGCTCTCAGCCATACACACCCCTTGTACCTCAGGGGAGGGACACTTGAATGGTGAGGCCCCAGACCTGCCCCAAGCTTTCAAGGAACATTCAATGTGTCCGCCTCTCTGTGAAGAGGCGTACAGCGGAAACATCTGTGTGGCTCAGAACCTTGAGAAAGAATGTGGGCAGGCCAATGAGCCATCAGTCATGCATGGAAATGTCAGGGTCCCGCCCTGGAGATCCAGCCCATGGCTCCCGGAGATCTGCCCGCAGCAGCTGACACGGCATTGCCCCAGGGGAGTAGAGCTTGGCCTCTATCTAATCTGAACACATTAGATCTCAGGCACCTATTTCCTCCAGACCAGATCAGAAAGAGCCACCAGCACAAAAGCATCTCCCAGAGCCAACACAGGGACCTCCAAGTCCCAGTATGTCTGGAATTGGTTCCTTCCGGTGGGTTCTTGGTCTCGCTGGAGCCACAGACCTTCGGCTGCGGTGAGTGTTACAATTCTTAAAAGATGGCGTGTCCGGAGTTTGTTCCGTCAGATGTTCAGATGTGTCCGGAGTTTCTTCCTTCTGGTGGGTTCATGGTCTTGCTGACTTCAGGAGTGAAGCCGCAGACCTTTGCAGTGAGTGTTACAGCTCTTAAAAGTGGCACCGTCCGGAGTTGTTCATTCCTCCCGGACGGTTCGTGGTCTCGCTGACTTCAGGAGTGAAGCCACAGACCTTCACAGTGAGTGTTACAGCTCTTTGTTTTTTGAGACGGAGTCTCCCTCTCACCCAGGCCGGAGTGCAGTGGCGCGATCTCGGCTCACTGCAAGCTCCACCTCCCAGGTTCATGCAATTCTCCTGCCTCAGCCTCCCGAGTAGCTGGGACTACAGGCGCCCGCCACTGCACCCGACTAATTTTTTCTTTTTTTTGTACTTTTAGTAGAGATAGGGTTTCACCGTGTTAGCCAGGATGGTCATGATCTCCTGACCTGGTGATCCGCCCACCTCGGCCTCCCAAAGTGCCGGGATTACAGGCGTGAGCCACAGCGCCCGGCCATGTTACAGCTCTTAAAGGTGGCACGTCCGACGTGCCACCTTTTTCGCAGGGAGTGTTACAGCTCTTAAAGGTGGCGCACCCAGAGTTGTTCGTTCCTCCTCGTGGGTTCATGGTCTACGCCGACTTCAGGAGTGAAGCCGCAGACCTTTGCAGTGAGTGTTACAGCTCTTAAAGGTGGCACGTCCGGAGTTGTTCGTTCCTCCCGGACGGTTCGTGGTCTCGCTGACTTCAGGAGTGAAGCCACGACCTTCACAGTGAGTGTTACAGCTCTTTTTTTGTTTGTTTGTTTTTTGAGACGGAGTCTCGCTCTCACCTAGGCCGGAGTGCCGTCAAGCTCCCCCTCCCAGGTTCATGCAATTCTCCTGCCTCAGCCTCCCGAGTAGCTGGGACTACAGGCGCCCGCCACTGCGCCCGGCTAATTTTTTCTTTTTTTTGTACTTTTAGTAGAGATGGGGTTTCACCGTGTTAGCCAGGATGGTTATGATCTCCTGACCTGGTGATCCACCCATCTCGGCCTCCCAAAGTGCCAGGATTACAGGCGTGAGCCACCGCGCCCAGCCGTGTTACAGCTCTTAAAGGTGGCACGTCGGACGTGCCACCTTTTCCACAGGAAGTGTTACAGCTCTTAAAGGTGGCACGTCCGACGTGCCACCTTTTTCACAGTGAGTGTTACAGCTCTTAAAGGTGGCACGTCCGACGTGCCACCTTTTTCACAGTGAGTGTTACAGCTCTTAAAGGTGGCGCACCCAGAGTTGTTCGTTCCTCCTCGTGGGTTCATGGTCTACACTGACTTCAGGAATGAAGCCTCAGACCTTCGCAGTGAGTGTTACAGCTCTTAAAGGTGGTGCGCGCGGCGTTCTTCATTCTTCGCAGCGAGTGTTACAGCTCTTAAAGATGGCAAGTGTTACAGCTCTTAAAGATGGCAAGTGTTACAGCTCTTAAAGATGGCAAGTGTTACAGCTCTTAAAGATGGCAAGTGTTACAGCTCTTAAAGGTAGCCCGTCGGGAGTTGTTCATTCCTCCCACTGGGTTCGTGGTCTCACTGACTTCAGCAGTGAAGCCACAGACCTTCACGGTGAGTGTTACAGCTCTTAAAGGTTGCACATCCACAATTGTTCCTTTCTCCCGGCGGGTGGCTTCGTGGTCTCACTGACTTCAGGAGTGAAACTGCACATCTTTGCAGTAAGTGTTACAGCTCATAAACGTCGCGTGGACCCAAAGAGCGAGCAGCAGCAAGCGAACGAAGAAAACCTCCATGGCGTGGAAGGGTTCCGGAGTGGGTTATCCGGGCTGGCTCCAGCAGCCAGCTTTTATTCCCTTATTTGGCCCCGCCCACATCCTGCTGATTGGTCCATTTAACAGAGTGCGGAGTGGTGTGTTTTTACAGAGTGCTGATTGGTGCGTTTAGCTAGACACAGCGCTGCTTTAGCTAGACACAGTGCTGCTTTAGCTAGACACAGCGCTGCTTGGTGCTATTTTTACAGAGTGCTGATTGGAGCATTTACAATCCTTTAGCTAGACACAGAGCACTGACTGATGCATTTACAATCCTCTAGGCTAGACAGAAAAGTTCTCCAAGTCCCCACTGGACCCAGAAAGTCAAGCTGGCTTCACCTCTCACCAGCAAGCCTGAACTGGTGGCATGTGGGGGACAACAGCAAAAATTTGCAGGCTCAGGCAAGCCACCTAGCCCTAAATGCCAGGTCCAGCTCTCACTAGTGGTGTAACCCTCAGAAGGCTCCCTGAGCTCTCTAGGACTAAGTTTTACATCAACAAAAGTAGGTGCTATTACCTCTACTCAAAGATTTGTTATTAGAAAAGAAATTCTGGCCAGGTATGGTGATTCATGCCTGTAATTTCAGCACTTTAGGAGGCAGAGGTAGGAGGACTACTTGAAGTCAGGAGTTTGAGATCACCCTGGTCAACACTGCAATATTCTGTTTCTACAAACTTTTTTTTAACAAAGAAGTGCCTAGTCTGTGCTAGTGCCTTTTTACACAGTACTGAGAATGTACCCGAGAACACATTATTCTCTTTCCTCCCTGAAAGCCACCAGGCAAATGGCCACAGGACTTGGTATACTCTTCAATCAGCCAGCCCCTCAATAGGACCTTTTCTGACAAAGGTGTTCTCTAAAAATCCCTGTTCTCCTACCCCTATGTGGCAAGGCCCATCTTAGGTGAAAGGTGTCAGGCCTCTGAGCCCAAGCTAAGCCATCATATCCCCTGTGACCTGCATGTACACATCCAGATGGCCGGTTCCTGCCTTAACTGATGACATTCCACCACAAAAGAAGTGAAAATGGCCTGTTCCTGCCTTAACTGATGACATTGTCTTGTGAAATTCCTTCTCCTGGCTCATCCTGGCTCAAAAGCTCCCCTACTGAGCACCTTGTGACCCCCACTCTGCCCACCAGAGAACAACCCCCCCTTTGACTGTAATTTTCCTTTACCTACCCAAATCCTATAAAACGGCCCCACCCCTATCTCCCTTCGCTGACTCTCTTTTCGGACTCAGCCCGCCTGCACCCAGGTGAAATAAACAGCCATGTTGCTCACACAAAGCCTGTTTGGTGGTCTCTTCACACGGACGCACATGAAATTTGGTGCCGTGACTCAGATCGGGGGACCTCCCTTGGGAGATCAATCCCCTGTCCTCCTGCTCTTTGCGAAAGATCCACCTACGACCTCAGGTCCTCGGACCGACCAGCCCAAGAAACATCTCACCAATTTCAAATCCGGTAAGCGGCCTCTTTTTACTCTCTTCTCCAACCTCCCTCACTATCCCTCAGCCTCTCTCCTTTCAATCTTGGCGCCACACTTCAATCTCTCCCTTCTTTTAATTTCAATTCCTTTCATTTTCTGGTAGAGATAAAGGAGACACGTTTTATCCACGGACTCAAAACTCCGGCGCCGGTCACAGACTAGGGAAGGCAGCCTTCCCTTGGTGTTTAATCATTGCAGGGACACCTCTGATTATTCTACCGGGTTTCAGAGGTGTCAGACCACGCAGGGATGCCTGCCTTGGTCCTTCACCCTTAGCGGCAAGTCCTGCTTTTCTGGGGAAGGGGCAAGTACCCTAATCCCTTCTCTCCGTGTCTCTATCCCTTCTCCGCCTTTCTGGGGGGCAAGAAACCCCCAACCCCTTCTCCTTCACACTTAGCGGCAAGTCCCACTTTTCTAGAGGAGGGGCATGTACCCCAACCTCTTATATCTCTGTGCCCCAATCCCTTATTTCTGTGCCCCGACCTCTTATCTCTGCACCCCAATCCCTTATTTCTGTGCCCTGACCTATCTCTGCACCCCAATCCCTTATTTCTGTGCCCTGACCTCTTATCTCTGCACCCCAATCCCTTATTTCTGTGCCCTGACCTCTTATCTCTGCACCCCAATCCCTTATTTCTGTGCCCTGACCTCTTATCTCTGCACCCCATCCCTTATTTCCGTGCCCCGACCTCTTATCTCTGCAACCCGACCTCTTATCTCTGCATCCCAACCCCTTATTTCCACGCCCCAACCCCTTTCCCGCTTTTCTGGAAGGTAAGAACCCCTGAACCCCTTCCCTCCGTGTCTCTACTCTCTTTTCTCTAGGCTTGCTTCCTTCACTATGGGCAACCTTCCACCCTCCATTCCTCCTTCTTCTCCCTTAGCCTGTGTCCTCAAAAAACTTAAAACCTCTTCAATTCTCACCTGACCTAAAATCTAAGCATCTTATTTTCTTCTGCAGTGCTGCTTGACCCCAATACAAACTCGACAGTAGTTCCAAATAGCCGGAAAATGGCACTTTCAATTTTTCCATCCTACAAGATCTAAATAATTCTTGTCGTACAATGGGCAAATGGTCTGAGGTGCCTGACATCCAGGCATTCTTTTACACATCGGTCCCTCTCTAGTCTCTGTTCCCAATGCAACTCGTCCCAAATCTTCCTCCTTTCCCTCCCGCCTGTCCCCTCAGTCCCAACCCCAAGCGTCGCTGAGTCTTTCTAATCTTCCTTTTCTACAGACTCATCTGACCTCTCCCCTCCTCCCCAGGCTGCTCCTCGCCAGGCCGAGCTAGGTCCCAATTCTTTCTCAGCCTCCGCTCCTCCACCCTATAATCCTTTTATCACCTCCCCTCCTCACACACAGTCTGGCTTACAGTTTCGTTCCGTGACTAGCCCTCCCCACCTGCCCAGCAATTTACTCTTAAAAAGGTGGCTGGAGCTAAAGGCATAGTCAAGGTTAATGCTCCTTTTTCTTTATCCCAAATCGGATAGCGTTTAGGCTCTTTTTCATCAAATATAAAAATCCAGCCCAGTTCATGGCTCGTTTGGCAGCAACCCTGAGACGCTTTACAGCCCTAGACCCTAAAAGTTCAAAAGGCCGTCTTATTCTCAAAATACACTTTATTACCCAATCTGCTCCCGACATTAAAGAAAACTCCAAAAATTAAATTCCAGCCCTCAAACCCCACAACAGGATTTAATTAACCTCGCCTTCAAGGTGTACAATAATAGAGAAAAGTTGCAATTCCTTGCCTCCACTGTGAGACAAACCCCAGCCACATCTCCAGCACACAAGAACTTCCAAACGCCTGAACCGCAGCAGCCAGGCGTTCCTCCAGAACCTCCTCCCCCAGGAGCTTGCTACAAGTGCCAGAAATCTGGCCACCAGGCCAAGGAATGCCTGCAGCCCAGGATTCCTCCTAAGCTGAGTCCCATCTGTGCGGGACCCCACTGGAAATCGGACTGTCTAACTCACCTGGCAGCCACTCCCAGCGCCCCTGGAATTCTGGCCCAAGGCTCTCTGACTGCTTCCCACATCTTCTTGGCTTAGCGGCTGAAGACTGATGCTGCCCGATCGCCTCGGAAGCCCCCTACAAGACCATCACGGATGCCGAGCTTCGCGTAACTCTCACAGTGGAGGGTAAGTCTGTCCCCTTCTTAATCAATACGGAGGCTACCCACTCCACATTGCCTTCTTTTCAAGGGCCTGTTTCCCTTGCCTCCATAACTGTTATAGGTATTGACGGCCAGGCTTCTAAGCCTCTTAAAATCCCCCAACTCTAGTGCCCACTTAGACGTTACTCTTTTAACCACTCCTTTTTAGTTATCCCCACCTGCCCAGTTCCCTTATTAGGCCGAGACACTTTAACTAAATTATCTGCTTCCCTGACTATTCCTGGATTACAGCTACATCTCATTGCCGCCCTTCTTCCCAATCCAAAGCCTCCTTTGTGTCCTCCTCTTGTATCCCCCAACCTTAACCCACAAATATAAGATACCTCTACTCCCTCCTTGGTGACCGATCATGCACCCCTTACCATCTCATTAAAACCTAATAACCCTTACCCTGCTCAATGCCAAGATCCCATCCCACAGCATGCTTTGAAAGGATTAAAGCCTGTTATCACTCGCCTGCTACAGCATGGCCTTTTAAAGCCTATAAACTCTCCTTATAATTCCCCCATTTTACCTGTCCTAAAACCAGACAAGCCTTACAAGTTAGTTCAGGATCTGCGCCTTATCAACCAAATTGTTTTGCCTATCCACCCCATGGTGCCAAACCCATATACTCTCCTATCCTCAATACCTCTCTCCACAGTCCATTATTCTGTTCTGGATCTCAAACATGCTTTCTTTACTATTCCTTTGCACCTGTCCTCCTAGCCTCTCTTCGCTTTCACTTGGACTGACCCTGACACCCGTCAGGCTCAGCAAATTACCTGGGCTGTACTGTTGCAAAGCTTCACAGACAGCCCCCATTACTTCAGTCAAGCCCAAATTTTCTCCTTATCTGTTACCTATCTAAGCATAATTCTTATAAAAACACACGTGCTTTCCCTGCTGATAGTGTCCAATTAATCTCCCAAACCTCAATTCCTTACAAAACAGCAACTCCTTTCCTTCCTAGGCATGGTTAGTGCAGTCAGAATTCTTACACAAGAGCCAGGACCGCACCCTGTAGCCTTTCTGTGCAAACAACTTGACCTTACTGTTTTAGCCTAGCCATCATGTCTCCGTGCAGCGGCTGCCGCCGTCCTAATACTTTTAGAGGCCCTCAAAATCACAAACTATGCTCAACTTACTCTCTACATTTCTCATAACTTCCAAAATCTATTTTCTTCCTCATACCTGACGCATATACTTTCTGCTCCCCGGCTCCTTCAGCTGTACTCACTCTTTGTTAAGTCCCACAATTACCATTGTTCCTGGCCCGGACTTCAATCCACCCTCCCACGTTATTCCTGATACCACACCTGACCCCCATGACTGTATCTCTCTGATCCACCTGACATTCACTCCATTTCCCCATATTTCCTTCTTTGCCGTTCCTCACCCTGATCACGCTTGATTTATTGATGGCAGTTCCACCAGGCCTAATCGCCACACACCAGCAAAGGCAGGCTATGCTATAGTACAAGCCACTAGCCCGCCTCTTAGAACCTCTCATTTTCTTTCCATCGTAGAAATCTATCCTCAAGGAAATAACTTCTCAGTGTTCCATCTGCTATTCTACTACTCCTCAAGGATTATTCAGGCCCCTTCCCTTCCCCACACATCAAGCTCGAGGATTTGCCCCCACCCAGGACTGGCAAATTAGCTTTACTCGACATGCCCCGAGTCAGATAACTAAAATACCTCTTAGTCTAGGTAGACACTTTCACTGGATAAGTACAGGCCTTTCCTACAGGGTCTGAGAAGGCCACCACAGTCATTTCCTCCCTTCTGTCAGAAATAATTCTTCAGTTTAGCCTTCCCACCTCTATACAGTCTGATAACAGACCAGCCTTTATTAGTCAAATCAGCCAAGCAGTTTTTCAGGCTCTTAGTATTCAGTGAAACCTTTATATCCCTTACGGTCCTCAGTCTTCAGGAAAAGTAGAACGGACTAAAGGTCTTTTAAAAACACACTTCACCAAGCTCAGCCACCAACTTAAAAAGGACTGGACAATACTTTTACCACTTTCCCTTCTCAGAAGTCAGACCTGTCCTCAGAATGCTACAAAGTACAGCCTATTTGAGCTCCTGTATAGACGCTCCTTTTTATTAGGCCCCAGTCTCATTCCAGACACCAGACCAACTTAGACTGTGCCCCAAAAAAACTTGTCATCCCTACTATCTTCTGTCTAGTCATACTCCTATTCACCATTCTCAACTACTCATACATGCCCTGCTCTTGTTTACACTGCCGGTTTACACTGTTTCTCCAAGCCATCACAGCTGATATCTCCTGGTGCTATCCCCAAACTGCCACTCTTAACTCTTGAAGTAAATAAATAATCTTTGCTGACAGGACTATGCTGAATTTCCTTAGGCACTCTAATTAGATGTCCTAGGTCCTCCCAATTCTTAGACCTTTAATACCTGTTTTTCTCCTTCTCTTATTCCGTTTAGTTTTTCAATTCATACAAAAACCGTATCCAGGCCATCACCAATAATTCTAAATGACAAATGTTTCTTCTAACAGTCCCACAATATCAACCCTTACCACAAAATCTTCCTTCGGCTTAATCTCTCCCACTCTAGGTTACCACGCCGCCCCTAATCCCACTCGAAGCAGCCCTGAGAAACATCGCCCATTATCTCCCCATACCATCCCCAAAAATTTTCACCGTCCCAACACTTTACCACTATTTTGTTTTATTTTTCTTATTAACATAAGAAGACAGGAATGTCAGGCCTCTGAGCCCAAGCTAAGCCATCATATCCCCTGTGACCTGCAGGTACACATCCAGATGGCCGGTTCCTGCCTTAACTGATGACATTCTACCACAAAAGAAGTGAAAATGGCCTGTTCCTGCCTTAACTGATGACATTGCCTTGTGAAATTCCTTCTCCTAGCTCATCCTGGCTCAAAAGCTCCCCTACTGAGCACCTTGTGACCCCTACTCTGCCCGCCAGAGAACAAACCAACCCCTCTTTGACTGTAATTTTCCTTTACCTACCCAAATCCTATAAAACGGCCCCACCCCTATCTCCCTTCGCTGACTCTCTTTTCGGACTCAGCCCGCCTGCACCCAGGTGAAATAAACAGCCATGTTGCTCAAACAAAGCCTGTTTGGTGGTCTCTTCACACGGACGCACATGAAAAAAGGCAAGGAAAAAAAACCAGGAGAAACTGGGCACAGGGAGCGACAAGCCCTCACTCCTGGTGCAGAGGCCAGGAACTGCCAGCTTCTTCCTGGAACGTTTGTGAGCATCCTTTCTGTTCACTGTATTGTAACAATCGTAATAACACTCCATTCCATAACACTCAGCCCTCATATTACATCATTCATTCCAAAACACTGGAAAAATGTGAATGCGTCTTCACAATGCCTCCAAAAGCCATAAGAAATTATGTTTCAAAAACACCAAAAACCAAGGACATAAAAGTACTGGAGGTTTCCAAAAGAATCACAGATTTCAAGGGTCAATGCAGGCACAGAACAGCTTAAGAATAAACACCTACCTTGCCAAAGTCTCCTGTTCATTGCTGGGGAAACCAACAAGAGCAATGAAAACATACCCCTGGGCCAGCCAGCCAGCGGGTGCTGGAGAGGGCCTCGCTGTTGGTGGCTTCCCAGACAGCTGTGGGAACTCTGAACCGATCTCCTCCCTCCCAGTAAACTCCCCCATAGCAACTCCTAAGTTCTGCACTGGCAACAACACCCTTTCCCTCGTCTTACCCAGCCCCCTCCTTCCTGCACTTCCCTCCTTCCTGGTCTTTGTCCTTCAGAGGTGACATGCAGGCTCTCTAGGCTGTCCAACAGGCAGCTCACAGTTCTCAGCAGGCCCAGCTGTGAACTACACCCCACAGCAGCTCCAGTTTGGAGAATGTAATGGACAGCTTGGGAGCACTAATGCATTTCTGCTATCACTTGTCATTTTAAAGAGTGACACACATTTTCTCTCTCTTCTTAAACCCCACATTACCCTCCATCTTTCTTCTCCATCTCTGACTCAGTTCTCAGAGCATGTGCCCTTGATGACACTCACCAGAGACGAGCAAATGCTAGTGAAGGTGGCACTGTTACAAAACAGCATCCCATCTGAGCCCGAGTCATTCTCCAGCCACGAGGATCCTCAACCTCCTTTTCACAGGTGAGGAAAGTGAGATTCAGAAAGAATGCGATTTCCCCAGTGTGACTCAGCTCATGTGCCCACACTGACTTCTGGGGTGCTATGGGCTGAATGTTTGTGTCCCCCACAGATTCCTATGCTGAAACTGAATCTTCAATCCAATGGCATTAGGAGGCAGGGCCTTTGGGAGGTGATTAGGTCATAAGGGTGCAGCCTTCATGAATGCGATTAGTGCCCTCACAAGAGAGGTTCCAAGGAGCCTGTATGCCTCTTCCACCATATGAAGATGCAGCAAGAAAGCACCACCTATGAGGAACGGTGAAACTAGACACTAAATCAGCCAACACCTTGATTTTGGAATTCCAGCCTCCAGAACTGTGAGCAATTTTCTGTTGTTTATACACCAGTCAGTTTATGGTATTTTATGCTAGCAGACTAAACAGACTCAGACAAAGAGCATTAAGGAGTGAGTTTAACAGCGATACAACCAGCTGGAAAGTAAAGAGAAGGAAAAAGAGCAAGTGAGGTATCTAGGAAATGATATTAAAGATTAGCTTCAGGAACCAAGGAATATATATATACAGCTGACATAAAGCAATGTGGTGAATCTCAAATATACTATCAAGAAAAAGAAGATAAAAGACATAAAGGATGACCACTTATGGAATGTTTACCAGTTTATCGTATTAATAAGGGCTATGATGAAGGATACAGATGAACAGCCTGATGAAGCGAGACATAGGGTGAGGTCTGGAAGAGTCCAGAGTGCTGGACCCACAGAGCTGGGGTCTGCCACCCTCCAGGCATGTAGACGTGTTACCCGCCAGGAAGCTTTCAAAACCCCATACTTTGGGGGTTTCTGTGAAGGCCTCGTCAAGGAGGCATAATGGATTATTAACTCTACTTCCAGCCCTCTCCCCTCTCTGGAAAATGGAGGATGGAGCCAGAAGCTCCAAGCTTCTAATCATGGCTTGTTCTATCTGATGACCAACCCCCACACAGGAGCCCATTAAGAGTCGCCTTGTTAGGACAAGAGCAGCTGTGCTGCTATCACCCAGGAAATCCCAAGGGATTTAAGAGCCATGTGTCAGGAACCAGGGTCAAAGATTAAATATTAGAACAAAAGCTACTCCTACCACCCAGGAAATCTCAAGGGATTCAGAAGCTCTGTGCCAGGTGCTGTCATCACTCTGGAAATTACAAAGGTTCTAGAAGCTCTGTGTCAGCAATCAGGATCAATGACCAAATATTAGAACAAAAGATTCTCTTAGCACCCTTATCTACAAGGGTTTTAGGAGTTCTGTCTCAAGAACCAAGGGCTGAGACCAATAAACACATATACATTTCTTATTATTTAACAGTATTCAACAAACATCATTATCAAAAGCAATGAAGTTGGCTGTTCTATTACAGAGAACAAAGTGAATTTTTCTATTTCCCAACCCACTTCTAACACTGGTACAGCTGGTTGACCTTGGAACAACTCTTTTTTTTTTTTTTTTTTTTTTTGAGACAGAGTCTCACTCTGTCTCCCAGGCTAGAGTGCAATGGTGAGATCTCGGCTCACAGCCACCTTTGCCTCCCGGGTTCGAGCAATTCTCTGCCTCAGCCTCCCAAGTAGCTGGGATTACAGTCATCTGCCACCATGCCTGGCTAATTTTTCTATTTTTTTTTTTTTTTTTTTTTAGTAGATGCAGGGTTTCACCATCTTGGCCAGGCTGGTCTTGAACTCTTGACCTCATGATCCACCCACCTCGGCCTCCCAAAGTGCTGGGATTACAGGCATTAGCCACTGCACCCGGCCAATTCTTTTTTTTTTTTTGAGACGGAGTCTCCCTCTGTTGCCCAGGCTGGAGTGCAGTGGTGTGATCTCGGCTCACTGCAAGCTTCACCTCCTGGGTTCAAGAGATTCTCCTGCCTCAGCCTCCTAAGTAGCTGGGATTACAGGCACCCGCCATCACGGCTGGCTAATTTTTGTATTTTTAGTAGAGACACGGTTTCGCCATGTTGGCCAGGCTGGTCTCAAATTCCTGACCTCAGGTGATCCACCTGCCTCGGCCTCCCAAAGTGCTGGGATTACAGTCGTGAGCCACTGCGCCCAGCTGGAACAATTCTTGATCCTTTCTTCCTATGTGTTTGAAAAACATAAAAATCCTTAACAATCCTTGAAAGTCCTTTAGAAGAAGACTTTACTCCATAACAATTCCTTCCTCCCAACTTTCTTACAATGATAACATATATGAGAAGAAACGAAGTTCAAAATTCAAAAAAGGAAGGGGTAGGTAAATTATCTAGTGGTCAATCAGTATGTGCCATCATAATTAGAATTAGCAAAGACTTGCATAATTACAATACAGGTTTTTGCAAAAGCCCAAGTTGTACTCTAGAGCTGCTAAGTCCCTTTTTCTGCCAATCCATCTTTCCCAAAAGTCACAAATCTACATTCTAACTAGGTAAGGTGCAGATAATTAGGAAAATACAGGAAAAGTCAAGAAACAAAGCTCCTAGATAAAACACACCACTGACCGATTCACCATCGATAGTAGACTGTCGTGAAATGTTCATAACGTAGACTCCCAATTCCTACAGCAGAGTTTCCTGCTGGCAGTAGGGGTGGGACATGGAGGACCTACATATGTGACACTCAAACCCAGTCACGTTTTCAATCTTAAAATACACTCTCTGTTAAGAAGTAATACAAACCCCTTTTAAAGGTATCATATGGGGCTGAGTGTGGTGGCTCACACCTGTAATCTCAGCACTTTGGGAGATCAAGGTGGGTGGATCACCTGAGGTCAGGAGTTCGAGACCAGCCTGGCCAACATGGTGCAACCCCGTCTCTACTAAAAATACAAAAAATTAGCCAGGCATGGTGATGGGCGCCTGTAATCCCAGCTACTTGTGAGGCTGAGGTACAAGAATCTTTTGAACCTGGAAGGCATAGGTTGCAGTGAGCCGAGATCACCCCACTGTACTCCAGCCTGGGTGGACAGAGTGAGACTCCTTCTCAAAAAAAAAAAAAGAAAAAGTATCAGATAGTAAGAAACATGTGATGATACTTAGGAAAAATTGCAGCCAACATCCTATGAAGTTGATGGGGATTTTATTTTTTATAGAGGGAAGCTAGTTTTCAGATCTTCCGCAGCGGCTACCTATCCTTTCCCAAATGATCCTCAATTAATCTTTGACTAAAGAGGCACCAAAAGCTCTGAAGAGGATACAGCTCCCCCGACACATTGAACAACTCCCTCGTGGCTTCCCCATCTTGAGAATGTTCTACCGTAATGTTCTACCGTACTTACCATAATGGTGTGTTCAGGAAATTTGGCACGGACAAGTTTCACGAATTCCACAAAATGTTCTGAATACCCATTGGCCACATCCAGGCAAATAAACTTAACCTGTGGCACAGCTTCCAGGATGCTGGTCATCTTTTCCAGATCATTCTGCCCACTGCCTGAACTCACGGCTACATTCTGCACCAAAATAAACCAAGAAGACAGGCATAAACAGTAGCATTCAGACATCAGACCCTGCCCCCATTTATGCACCTATTCTGGGACAGTACAACAACCCTTTTCGGTCTACCCTAATCAAATGCACAGTGCACCTGCTCAAGACACATGCAACAGCAGAGGTAAAGGGGATTCATTCATTAAATTATCTAAACTTTGGCCAGGCACGGTGGCTCATGCTGTAATCCTAGCACTTTGGGAAGCCAAGGCGGGCAGATCACCTGAGGTCAGGAGTTTGAGACCAGCCTGGCCAACATGGTGAAACCCCATCTCTACTAAGAATACAAAAATTAGCCAAGTGTGGTGGCTCATGCCTGTAATCCCAGCACTTTGAGAGGCCGAGGCAGGTGGATTACCTGAGGTCAGGAGTTCGAGACAAGCCTGGCCAACATGGTGAAACTCTGTCTCTATTAAAAATATAAAAATTAGCCAGGCGTGGTGGCAGGTGCCTGTAATCCCAGCTCCTTGGGAGGCTGAGGCAGGAGAATAGCTTGAACCTGGGGGGCGGAGGTTGCAGTGAGCCGAGATTGTGCCATTGCACTCCAGTCTGGGCAACAGAGCAAGGTTCCGTCCGCCAAACCCCACCCCGCCACTAAAAAAAAAAATAATGACTACCGGCATGATTGTGTCATATCAGGGAAACTCAAGGGAGGACAATAAGCAAGAACCAAAAGTTTCCAGGAAGAAGGAGAAATGGCCAATCAACTCGGGCTTCCCCACATGAAAGCTGTGGCCTTCACCCTGAGCACCTTGCTTGGGGAGCAAGAGAGGGGATGATATCTGAAATGCCTCTGAAAAACTCTTACCTATTTTTATTTTCACTCCCAATAAAATAATAGTGCAGCATGTGACATAGTTTGGATATTGTCCTCACCCAAATCTCATGTTGAAATATGACCCCCCCCCAGTGGAGGTGGGGCCTGGTGGGAGGTGTATGGGTCATGGGGGTGGATCCCTTATCAATGGCTTGGGCCATCCCCTTGGTGATCTCTCGGTCTGAGTTCACAGGAGATCTGGTCATTAAAAGTGTGTGACCTCCCACCCTCTCTTTCTCTCTCCCACTTCGCCTTCCACCATGATTGGAAGCTTCCCAAGGCCTTCCCAAAAGCAAATGGGTGGCACTATGCTTCCTGTACAGCCTGCAGAACCATTAGCCAATTAGATCTCTTTTCTTTATAAATTACCCAGTTTCAGGTATTTCTCTAAAGCAATGCAAGAACAACCTAATACAGCATGCAAATCTCAACCTGTACACAGAATTGCAAATCTGTTTTCCTATTAAAGGGATAAAATTTCCCAAGGTGTGAAAACAAACAAGCCTGACATGATCTTTCACAACTACACTTGTACATGTTTAAATCTGAAGCCACCACATTCTCCCCTGTAACACCCTTGTCCCTTAACTTCCACCAGTGCCCCTGAACCTCACACCTCTCCCTTCTCTGAACATCTGCCCCTTGGGCAAGGACTTGCTTTCACTAATTTATGCCTTAGTGAAACTAAGACATGGATTGTTTATATTTTAACTCTTATCTCTAAACCCTGGGCCACATATGAGTGGCCTATCTTAATATCCTTTATGTTATTCCCCCAAATGATAACAATGTGGCTGCAGTGCAGAGACTGAGAGTGAGCTGATGGTTAACATGACACATATTTACTCCAGCCTTCTCTGTGCATTCACGCCTGGGCCTCGTGGTTCACAGCTCTGCCCTGTGCCAGCCCAATCCACACAAGCCCACTCTCCCTCCCACCAGAGCTCTGCTTTTTTTATCTTACTTCATTTCTGTCTAAGTATACTATATGGAACTTGAGATTGGTTGCCTTCTCTCACTGCTACTAAGTTTTTAACATTATCCCTTTTGAATTCGCCTTTTATTTGGTGGCGGGCTGTGTAGTAAGTCGATGTATCACACTTGGTAATGAAAGCCACAGTTCCAGTTAACAATACATTGCCAAAAACTCCCTTAAAGAAGGTGGAGGGAGGCCGGGCATGGTGGCTCATGCCTATAATCCCAGCACTTTAGGAGGCCGAGGTGGGTGGATCATTTCAGGTCAACATGGTGAAACCTTGTCTCTACTAAAAATACAAAAATTTAGCCAGGCTAGGTGTTGCGCACCTGTAATCCCAGCTACTCAGGAGGCTGAGGCAGGAAAATCAATTGAACCCGGGAGGTGGAGGCTGCAGTGAGCAGAGATCACGCCATTGCACTCCAGTCTGGGTGACAAGAGCAAAACTCTGCCTCAAACAAAAAAAATAAAAGAAGTTAGAGGGAGGTCTGAGAAAAAGACAAAAAGAAAATCATTATTCCCAAACTTATTATAGGGAAAAACAGAAGAAAGTGAAAACAAACACAATTCACTTGAACACAATATGGCAAAAATGAAGGACTTACTATTGAGTCAGAATTATTTTATATCCAAAACCACTTTTTCACTAATCAAAATCCACACATAATTAAAGCACAGTAACGACAACCCCAAAAAGCCAGTGAGACCTTGAAAACAGTACGACCTGAAGTCATTTTCCAATCATAAATGATCTGACCAGCAGGGAACACCTCTAACCCAGGGAGACCTGTCTGTGGCTTCAGCTCAGAACCACCTGAATGTGGCAGGAGCAAGTGCAGGCATGTTGCAGCAAGGCTTTCTGTTGTTTTTTTTTAATGGCTTCTTGAAATATAATGACATACCATACAGTTCACCCATTCAACATGCACAATTCAATGATTTTTAGTATATTTAGAGTTCTGTAACCATCATGATAGATTTTAGAATATTTTCATAACCCTCCCAAAGAAAGTCTCATACCCCTTAACCACACTCCCTCTCAAACTTCCTCAGCCCCTCAGGCCACTAATCTATTTTATGACTTAGATTTGCCTATTCTGGACATTTCCTAGAAATAGGATCATAGATGCTCTGGCCTTTGCGTGTGGCCTTTTCTTTTCTGAGACAGAGTTTCGCTCTCGTTGCCCAGGCTGGAGTGCAATGGCACAATCGTGGCTAACTGCAACCTCTGCCTCCGGGGTTAAAGCAATGTTCCTGCCTCAGCTTCCTGAGTAGCTGGGATTACAGGCATGCGCCACCACGCCCGGCTAATTTTGTATTTCTAGTAAAGACAGGGTTTCTCCATGTTGGGCAGGTTGGACTCGAACTCCCGACCTCAGGTGATCCACCCGACTCGGCCTCCCAAAGTTCTGGGATTACAGGCGTGAGCCACCGCGCCGGGCTGCGTCTGGCTTTTTCACTTAGTGAAATGTCCTCAAGGTTCATCCATGCTGTAGCCTGTATCAGACCTTGACTCCTTCTTACGGTTGAACAATATTCCACTGTATGGATATACCTTATTTTGTATGTCCTTTCACCCACTGATAGACATTTGGGTTGTGTCTACTTTTGGGCTATTATGAATAACGCTGCCATGAACATTCATGTACAAGTTTTTCTGTGGAAATGTGTTAATTTCTGTTGAGTCTATACCTAGAAATGGAATTGCTGGGTCACATGGCAACTCTTATGGTTAACGTTCCAGGAACTGACAACTGTTTTCCAAAGCAGCTGCACCATTTTCCATTCCCAGCAGTGAATAAGGGTTCCAGTTCCTCCACATCCTCAACAACATTTATTGTCTTTTTTTTTTTTAAAAAGAGACCCCTCACTATGTTGACCAGGCTGGCCTTGAACTCCTGGGTTCAAGCAATCCTCCCACCTCAGCCTCCCAAAGTGCTGGGATTACAGGCATGACCCACGGTGCCTGGCTATTATCTGTCTTTTTGATGACAGCCATCCTGGTGGGAATAATGTTTACTCAACTCTAAAGCACCTTGTTATACTCAGAAGTTTTTTCTACAGCCAAAAGACTGGATCTACCTTGAATTACCTGGCAGGAAACACAGGTCTTCCCCAAGCTCTTGGGATATAACACACTTCATCTTTCAGGGGAAAACAGACATTTCTTACAGATAAATCCTAGTATTTTAATAATACAATATGGAAACAAGTTTTCTCAGCAAATCCCTGGCAATGGCACAGGGCTAGAGAAACACCGAACTCTCAATGTCTCTCTGCTACTGACTGAAATCCTCTTGACAGCTCTGAAGATTTTGTTCCCCCCTGCAGCACTGGTAATTGATAACCAGGCTGTAGTCGTACCTGCAGGCATTCTGGGTGATTTGTGGCAAAGAGCTTCCAGTCATCCAGGGAGTAATGCTTATGAATTGCTGTAAACATGGAGTGCTAGAAAACAAAACAGCACCATTAGGATGGGAAGCCAAGTGAGAGCCCCCCTCCCTCCTCCATCTGGAGGTGGTGATCCAACAAGACAAAGGCATCAGTGTTCCTGCCATCCATGCTTAATTTGCTTTGAATGTGCTCCTAGCAGCCAAAACCAAACAAAGGTACAACCATTGAAATCATAAAACCCTGTTTCCCATTCTAATCTGGTTAGACAATACCGCATTCAGGACTAGGGAGGCTCTGCCAGGAGGCAGGAGAGGGATAAAAGAGAATTCTCAGAGCCCTACCCAGCCCACCCAGGCTCCCACCCACACCTGTATTAGGCCAAAAGCAGCACTGATGGTCCAAAGAGAAAACCAGGCAGCAGGTCCCCTGCCCAGAAGGACCATCCTAACACAAACTTCTGCTTAGCCGACCCTGAAGAACCCCACCTTATCCCTGAAAGCTTTCTCTTGTGCTCACAACCGGAACACTTCTTGCTAAAAGGTAAATCCATTAAATCTTGCCGGTGGGAATTATATAAAGTATAACCCTAAACCTATGACTACTGCCCCAGCATTTATGACCCGCTTTGTGTCAGTCGTTTCATTTAATTTTTGGAACAACTTTGAACAGCATTATTAGCTTCGTGGGCATAAATGGAGCTTAAGCAGTTTAAGTTGCCCAGGCATGGTGGCTTACGCCTGTAATCCCAGCACTTTAGGAGGCCGAGGCAGGAGGATCACTTAAGCCCAGGAGTTTGAGACCAGCCTAGCAACATGGCAAGACCCCATGTCTATTTAAAAAACATAAAACAAATCAAACTTTTAAAATTTGCTAAGCGTGGTGGCACATTCCTGTAATCCCAGCATTTGGGGAGGCTGAGGTGGGTGGATCACCTGAGGTCAGGAGTTCAAAACCAGCCTGACTAACATAGTGAAACCCCATCTCTACTAAATACAAAAAATTAGCCGGGCATGGTAGAGCACCTGTAATCCCAGCTACTCAGGAGGCTGAGGCAGGAGAATCACTTGAACCTGGGAGATGGAGGTTGCGGTGAGCCAAGATGGTGCCATTGCACTCCAGCCTGGGCAACAAGAGTGAAACTCCATCTCAAAAAAAAAAAAAAAAAAAAAAATTACAAAATGTAACAACTGCATGGCGGGGAAGAGGAAAAGGCCAGAGTCAAACTTGGATCTGACTACGGAGATTGGACACCTTGCCCTTTAACAGAAGCCTCCCACCTAACTTCTCTGGGGCTACCTATGTCCCCATCTACAACTTCTCATTCTAAACTTCTATGACTTTAGTAACTTGTGCTAGTTCTATGGATCCTAGAAACGGAAAATTCACAGTAGCCACCCATGGTTAGCTACACCAGTCTATGCTATTCTGTTAGCAGGGAGACTTCCTAGGAAAATGGGAAGAGCACAGCGAGTCCTAGGTTTTTCCTGGACTATAATCTATTATGTGAATTAATCAGACTTGACTGCTCCCTGGTTCCCCTCACTTTTATACTAACACATAATTCATTAGTAGCAATGGCTGATGACAGAGCAGAGCAGGGAAAGGGTGAGGAGAAAAAAATACCAGTTCCTTAGCAATTAATTTATTAGCCTCTGGCCCAACGCTCAGTAGGGGCTGAGGTCTGACAGACAATGCAAGTGATCACGGAATCCGACAGACCACCCCTACTCCATTTTGGGAGCTCATAATTTATTTGAGAATATTTTCCGTCGAATCACTGGCTAATAATGAATCTCAGTGTCTCCTGTGGTCAGACTTGCTGCCCACAGTGAGAAGCTCTCTCAACTAATTGGATTTATCTTTTCACTTGGCAGGCATTATCCACAGGAAAGACAGAACCCCTGAGTGCAGCAGACATTCCACATCTAGGATGCAGAAGACGCTCTGCACCTCACCCATAAATGTCCTGCCCACAAATGGGTTTTCCTTTATTTTTCCCAAAGCGAGGACACCATTTTTAATTTTTTTTTAATTTTATTTTAACAAACAGTACTTCTCAGATTGATCTATACAATGAATTTTTTTTTTTTTTTTTTTTTTTTTTTGAGACAGGGTCTTCTTGCTCTGTCACCCAGGCTGGAGTGCAGTGGCGCAATCTTGGCTCACTGCAACCTCCGCCTCCCAGCTCAAGTGATCTTCCCACCTCAGCCTCCCGAGTAGCTGGGACTACAGGCTCACACCACCACACCTGGCCAATTTTCATATTTTTTTGTAGAAATGATGCTTCGCCATGTTGCCCAGTCTGGTCTTGAACTCCTGAGCTCAAGCAATCCGCCTGCCTCCACCTCCCCAAATCCTGGGATTACAGGTGTGAGCCACTATGCCCAGCCAAAGCAAGGATATTAGCTACCCTCTTTACAGAAAATTAGGCTGGTGTACTTGGCTAAAAGAGACTTTGAGCTTTCAATGTGATCATCCATTTAAGTTAAGGGGTAAATTCCTTAGATTCTAGAGTCAGTTTCAGCTGGAATCCTGATTCTCTCTCTGTATACATCTGGCTGAGGGCCTAGGGCAAGTGACCTACCCCTCCCCTCTCTGCCTCAGTTTCCTCATCTGTAAAAGGAACCTATCTTGTTGAGTTGCGTCAAGAATTAAGAGATACAGGCCGGGCATGGTAACTCATGCCTGTAATCCCAGCACTTGGGTAGGCCAAGGCAGGCGGATCACCTGAGGTCAGGAGTTCAAGGCCAGCTTGGCCAACACGGTGAAACCCCATCTTCACTAAAAATACAAAAATTAGCTGGGCATGGTGGCATGTGCCTGTAGTCCTAGCTACTTGGGAGGCTGAGGCAGGAGAATTGTTTGAACCAGGGAGGCGAATGTTGCAGTGAGCCAAGATCACGTCACTGTACTCCAGCCTGGGCGACACAGTGAGACTCTGTCTTAAAAAAAAAAAAAAAGAAATACATTATCTGCAGTGTTTCGTACATAAGCGCTCGATACATGTATTCAACATAATTATACAGTAAATGCTGCAGCACGGACTGCATACAAAGCAGCTCTGTCTTAATTTTAAAGGGGTTGTCACTTTTCTGCAATATGGCACTCTTCATGTTGTCTAGCTTCTTTTTGTATCTCTAATTTCCAAAACCATCACAGTCATTTTCACAGAAGCAATGGATGCAGATCTAGACCTTCTCATTGAACCCAAAGTCCAGACACCGTCCACTTTCTGATTGAAGGGAAAGACAGAGAATGACCCAAAGCAGCTCACATTTCTACTCTTCCTTGTGTCTGAATAAAGCCAGGGTCGGCTCCTGATAACCTGTCCACAGTGTGAGCAGCAAAGGGAAAAAACAAAAGCCTACCGCCTCACCTGTGACATCACGGCTGCCATCTCAAACGTGCCCACAGTGTCCATGTTGGCCACGATGATGGGAATCCCTGAGTAGGTCTGCTTTGAATTTCGAAACGTGAAGGTGCGTTCAAGATCCACCTGTTGGCCAAAAAAAAAGAAAGAAAAAGGGAAAGAAATGAGTGCTTTGCTCTTATGTGAAATGTGCAGAATTTCTGGAGTTTGGAGCGAGTAGGAACAAGACAAAGGTCCCTGGATTCTCTTAGGGGTCAAAGACAGGTATTCCAAAGACACCAGAGCGGAAATTCCGCCGTCAAGACAAGCCTCGGAATCGGAAGCTCTCTCCTACTTTCCCAGCCTCTCCAACCCCACTGCCTCCTTCTATCCACTTCCCTAAAGACCCACATACATGTTATCTTCGCCCCACCCGCAAGCCCTATAGAAACCATTCCCCTCCTGGGAGGATCTGCTCCACTCTTCCTTGCCAACCATGGCCCTCCTCCTGGAACAATCCCTTCACTTCTTACCTTTCACCTAGAGCCACACTCCAAATTCACCCTGCAGTGAGCGCCACACAATTAATCCCTTCGCCTTTTACCCTCCACGGCTGCTTTAATTATGAGGATCTTTCAAAAAGCTGGTGGAAAGTACATTGCAACCATATGTTCCTGCATATCAACACTTGTTCCTTTGACTTGCAAGCAGCTGGGTGGGGAGGTCAGGGGGCTCCAATTCTCCTGCAACTTCAAGATCGGGGCATGTAGGACTAACCTTGCTATCGGCAATCCAGAACAACACAGTCACAAGGGTGGGCTTGACAGAAGCCACGTGCTAGATAGAGCCAGGAACTCACCAAGAGCTAGAAGAGTCCGAATTACTTCTCTGACCCACGGCAGATGCCAGCCTGTCTGCCCACCCACCATCCTCAGCCTGCTCTTATCCCAGGAAGGCTAACTGCTACAGGCTCCATTTCTCAAGTTCATTTCTGGCTGGGATGGGCCAATGGAGGACACTGGGTGGGAAACTGGAGGACAGTGGCAGGCAGAGGTTGGCGGAAGTCAGGGTAGTTCTCCCAGAACCCCTCTGCCTTAGACAGCTTCTCCAGAACAGCTGGGTTGCCTCCGGGCCTGGATCCTCCGACCAGAGAGGCCTGCGTATTCCTTGTTCCAGCTTTCCCTAAGCAAGCCCAGTCCCTTCCTGGGCTCCAGAGCACTGTCTTCTCCCTCCGACCCTCACCCTAAGGAAGGGGTGGCTTCTCGCTGTTGCTGATCTCTGGGGTGCCTTAATATCCTCAGTTGTGTCAGAATGCCCCGCATTCAATTCCATGTTTTAAACAGTCAGCATCGTTTGTTTCTCTGGCTGGACTCCGATAGACACAAACTACATTAGAAGTGGGTGCTTCCCCAAGGGGAACTGGCCAGAGGAGCACAGGTATGAATCTTATGCTTCTGCAGTAACTTAGACCTACATTAACCCTGGCTTCATGAATTACACCAGCAAGAGTCATTTTCTGCCAGTGTTTACCTAGATGCTCCTCTCATTTTTTTCACTTGAGGCAACTTTCACTTTGCGATCAGCATTAAGTCAGAAAACACCATGGGACCGCTCTGGCCCTTTAGCCTTTACATTTCTCTTGCTTCTCAACACCGGGTTTTGTGTCCAGAAGGCGTCCTGGGTGAATGATGTCATAAACATGACTGCACAGGCCTCACACAGCCATCAGTGAGGAGAAATGAGATGCTGGAAGTGCACGAACCTACGCAGTGGCACGTCCCTTTCTCCACCTCCTTCCTGATGACTCTGGGTTCTACTTCAGTGGAGCACGTTTATAGTGACATTCTGAAAGAGAACTGAAGGGACCTACCCATAGCAACCCTGTGTGTGGCTAATGGCTCTGTAACATTTGGCTTGGCAGGCTTGAAACAATCAATTCCTTGGTCTCAAATTACTCTTCTATCCTCCAACAGGCATGGGGCTAGCTGCTACACTCTGCACCCGGCTGAGATCACAATGGGTTTTTCTTGGCACTCCAAAACCTATCAGCAGGACACAAAACACAGAGCTCTTCATGGAAAAGGGCAGCCTTAACAGTAAACGCTTCCCCTCATTTCCAGTCCTTTTTATGAGCTAGCTCTTTGCCATCGTTAATTCTAAGAATGAAAAATAAAATGATCTTCCCCAACTTTATCCACCCAGACACACACACATAACCCAGGCCAGTTGTTCACTAGCAGAGATAAATATTTTAAATATTTCAGCCTCCCAGGAACAACACTTGGCACTTAGTCTGGCACAGCCGGCCAATACGCCAAATATAGATTAGATTCCCTGTCTAAGCCTGACCTGAAAGGGAACATAAAGTAACAAAGTCCCCTCCCCCACCCACAAACACACATCTCTGCTGCTCTCTAACAGGCCTTCATTAAAGCCAGTCCTGCCACCCAACATGTCAGGGGCTCAAAAGTGCAAATGGGCTGGCGTGGTAGCTCACACCTGTAATCCCAGTACCGTGGGAGGCTGAGGCAGGCAGATTGCTTGAGCTCAGTTCAAGACCAGCCTGGGCAACACGGTGAAACCCCATCTCTACACAAAATAGAAAAAACTAGCCAGGCTTGGGTGGTGCGAGCCTGTAGTCCCAGCTACTCAGGAGGCTGAGGTGGGAGGATTGATTGAACACCGGAGGCTGAGGCTGCAGTGAGCCATGATCATGCTACTGCATGCCAGCCTGAGTGACAAGAGTGAGACCTTGTCTCAAAAAAAAAAAAAAAAAAAGTACAAATAGAGGACAACCTACCACATTCCTAAATAATTCAATGTGGTAAGTCCAACGAACAAACTGCTACATAAAATAGGTTCTAACCTCCTACCCTGAAAAAAAAAAAAAGCAATTTCATTCACAACCAGAAAGGCACCAGAACATGGTAGCGGGGAGCCGGCCCTGGCCCCCAGTCCACCCCTCTTCCCTTCTCACCCAAATCCTTATGTGTGCACAGAGGAAAAGGCCCCCACCTTCAGTCAGCACACAAAGCTGTGTGCATACCCACGTACTTTTCCATGAACAACTGCCACTTAGCCACTCTGGGTTGGAGGTGAGCACACCAGCATCATGGGTGGCCCTTGGAAACACACCAGGGCAAGAGGCCCATGCAGGCCTTAGAATCAGCTCAAAGTTACTTGGGGAAGGAGATCCAGGATCCTGAGTACTTGGAGCGTGGCCTAAGGAACAGCATAGCCCACAGGCCCTGCCCAGTGAGGAGGGATGCAATTTGGGGGGCAGACGTGGGACCCAGGACAGAGGCTCCTTTTCCTAGATCTACAGATGGTACCGAGTAAAGCAATTCTTTTACATATTGTATTTTATTACATAATCTATTATATAGATCGCTCATTAGCTGTAACACCTGTCTGAGTACAGGGACGTCTTCCAACTTTGTAGTCCTAGTGGCTCAAAAAGCATGGGGTAAACTAATGGCTGGCTAAAAGGTAAGAATACTGTGTTCTGGCCCCCAGCCTTTTGCAGTGTTTGGTGGCCCCAGCCCAGACCTCTGAATGTGGATCCAAGCCCTGAAAGCCTCACCATCAGTTATCAGGCTCGTGAGAAGCTCATGCCCAGCTGCAGTGCTACCAGAGAGCCGCAGGGTTCCACAAATGGAAAGGGCTTCAGAGGCTGGTCCAGCACACCCGGGTACACATCAGAATCCTCTTAGAACTGGTTCCAAAATACTCGTGCTCCAGCTGCCTCAAACTTCATGAATCACCACCTTTGTGCTGGACATATTATGTGTATTTTGGAGTGTTTCCCCAGGCGATTCTAACGCATTCATGACTCAGAACAGCGCCAAACTCTTTAATTTTCCAAACCAAAATTTACAAAGGCTGTCTGTTATGGGTTGAATTATGTCTCCCCCCCGCCCCCAAAATGTTGAAGTCCTAACCTCCAGTACCTGTAAATGTGACCTTACTTAGTTAACAGAGTCATTGCAGATGATCAAGCTAAGGTGAGATCAAGAGGGTGAGCCCTAGTCCAATATGACTGATGTTCTTATAAAAAGGATAAATTTCAGGGCACATAATCCCAGCACTTTAAGAGGCCAAGGCAGGCGAATCACCTGAGGTCGAGAGTTCAAGACCAGCCTGACCAACATGGAGAAACCCTGTCTCTACTAAAAATACAAAATTAGTTGGACGTGGTGGTGCATGCCTATAATCCCAGTTACTCGGGAGGCTGAGGCAGGAGAATTGCTTGAACCTGGGAGGCGGAGGTTGCGGTGAGACAAGATCACGCCATTGTACTCCAGCCTGGGCAACAAGAGCGAAACTCCTTCTCAAAAAAAATAAATAAAAAATAAAATAAAAAGGAGAAATTTGGACACAGATGCACACATAGGGAGAACCTCATGTGGAGATGAAGGCAGAGATTGGGGACAACTGTCAGCAAACCAGCAGAAGCTGGGAGAAGGGCAAGAAACAGAATCTCCCTCCCAGCCCTCAGAAGGAATCAACCCTGCCAACATCTTGGACTGGGACTGCTACCTTCCAGAACTGTAAGATAATAAATTCTTGTTACTTAAGCCACCAAGTATGTGGTCCTCAGTTACAGCAGCCCCAGGAAACCAGCATACAGGCAAAGGTTAAAAAAAAAAAAAAAAAGTAATTAGTGACAGAGCTTGGACTAAAACACAGGTATCCTTCCTCCCAGCCACTCTGCCATGTTCTCATCCCCCTCAGGCCAACCAGTAGCAGACGGTGAAAGCTAGACCAGAACTCTTCTCACGGGACTGCTGGGGAAAAAACTGCTATGAAGTTTTAAGCAGACTGAACATCTGTTGTGTCTTCTCTGTCCTTAAACAAAATGAGTAATTTGCTGCGATTCTCTTCAATGCCTGATAATTTATTAATAAGTTTTTTAGGGGTTTATTTTTTGTTTTTGTTTTAATTCTTATCAGCTGGGTGCAGTGGCTCACACCTGTAATCCCGGCACTTTGGGAGTCTGAGGCAGGCAGATCACCTGAAGTCAAGAGTTCAAGACCAGCCTGGCCAACACGGTGAAACCCCATCTCTACTAAAAATACAAAAATTAGCAGAGCGTGGTAGGTGCCTGTAATCCCAGCTTCTCGGGAGCCTGAGGAAGGAGAATCGCTTGAACCCAGGAGGCGGAGGTTGCAGCGAGCCAAGATCACACCACTGCACTCCAGCCTGGGTGACAGAGTGAGACTCCGTCTCTAAATAAATAAATAAATAAGTACATTCTTACTAGCTTAAGGACTAGAGTAGAATGTTAGAGCCAGAAATGGGTACTAAGGAAGAAAACACTCAGGGAGAATGCAGGCTCCCCAGCGTAACAGATGAAAACAAAGGTCTTGTCTCAATCCACAAACTCATCACTTCTCAGAAAAAGATTATCCAAATGTCCCCACATGACCCTGTGGCGCTTTATTCTTCCATGCCAGGGGCTGGACATTTGAGAGATGAATGCCTCCCTGGAGAATCCAGGCGAAGGCCACCTGGGCCACTGCTACCTGTATTCTTTGCCTCTCAGAGGTGACCTCAGATTCATCTCATTCATGTTCATTTATGGAAGGCTGGTGGAAATGTCCTTGCAGGAGTCCTGAAGCTTCTGAGGGGGAGATCACTCTTACTGTCCGTTTCCTGCTATAGCCTGATGATCCATTGCTGGGCCTGGCTCTTAGCAAAACTGTCACGAGGATAAGCCCATCATCAGCTGTCAAAACCCTCCTCCCTCAGCCAGACTCTACTCCCAGGGTGTACGTTCTCTTTCCTGGCTCTGTACAAATCTGCTGTTAGGCTCAATGTCGGTCATCTACCCTTCAGTTTCCAATTTGCCTCCAGATATTACTTCTGCCAGGATGCACATATTTTAAGCTTCTGATTGTGCAAGGAAAAGTTTTTATCTGCCTGTGAAAAATTTCAGGCATCAACAAGCAAACTGAGAAAACATTGAGAGGGGATTAGGGAGGCCTAACTAGATCCCTCAACGCCACCGAGGCAAGTAAAGTCAGATCATGGGGGTGGCCAGCCAGGCAGCAGCCTCACGCATCAGGGAGCTAAACCATCACGGCAACCGATTAGAAAGGCAATGCTGGTTAACCTGAGTCTCCAGGCCCGTGGCTGGCAAACTCCCACGAACATAAAAATACAAAAGAGACTCCTCAAGGGCACTGAGTTCTCACTGCAATGTGTACATGAAGATTGCAAAGATGCTATCCCAAACTGGAACATTAGTTACAATCTGCCCAAATTATGAAGCCAAGTGTTGCATGACATTGTCGCATGATGTGATAGTATTCCCCGAGAAGGAGTAATTCATTCTATTACATAAATTTCATTTTAGCTTTAGAGACAGGGTTGTCCAGGCTGAAGTGCAGTGGCACCATCATAGCTCACTGTAACCTCCAGCTCCTGGGCTCAAGCCATCCTCCCGCCTCAGCCTTCCAAGTAGCTGGGACTACAGGTGAGCACCACTGCCCTAATTTTTTAAATTTTTGTTGTAATCTCCAGCTCGTGGGCTCAAGCCATCCTCCCGCCTCAGCCTTCCAAATAGCTGGGACTAGAGGTGTGCACAACTGCCCTGGCTGATTTTTTAAATTTTTGTAGAGCTGAGGTCTTGCTTTGTTGCCTAGGCTGGCCTCGAACTCCTGGCCTCAAGCAATCCTTCCACCTCAGGTTCCTAAAGTGCTGGGATTACAGGTGTGAGCTACTGTGCCTGGCCCTATTACATTAATGTTCAATATTTTACCTTCTCAACATGTTTTCTGGTTCAGAAAATAGGTATATCTTTGTTTTGAACATCCAATTTTCTGAAAAATGAGTTTCTCTCTTCTAAATACATTTTGAATATTTAAAGAATATTGAGGCCACCAAATTATTAGCACATCCAGAATCCCCCTATTTCATCTTGGTCTTGCCTTAGGAATTGGCTACAGCTCATGCTTCCAGAGGCCCAGGCCTGCCCTCCAAACTGTTTTTGTTCCAAGAGAGGCCCCCTCTTTAGCACCTGAAAGGTCATGAGGGACAGGCACAGGGTCACCCAATCTGGGGCGATAAGTTTTAATCATTCCTCCCCTACGTCCTCCAGTCCTGCCGGGCTCCAAACCAGCCAATGCTGCTGCTTACAGAAGGCCACTTGGTTTAGTCATTGGCTAACGCGGAGGCTTCCCCAATCCAAGCAAGCCCTCGGCTGGCAGCCCCAGGCACTGCAGTTAGGCCTGGCACCGGAGTGGGCAGCGGACTTCTTTGCTGAGGGGATTTATTTATGGTCTTGTTTGTGGAGCTGAGTGGACGGAGCTGTGCAGGTTGGCCCAGCCTCCTCGTGTTTACTCCTTCAGCCCCAGCCTTCAACCGTGTCCGGTTTCCTCACCTTCCTCTCCAGCTCTCAGCAAAGCCAGTCACCAGCGCACACCACCCCGGGGCACTCTGCCTTTCAGGCAACTAGTTTATCCTTCAGGGACTGGCCTCCCTTCCCCCAGCCTCAGGCTATTTCCAGTCCGGTCTCCACCTGTTCCTTAGGATTTGAGGACATCCAGGCAGAACCAGGGAAATGCCCGAGGCTTCCAATTCGCCCCCACCTCTCTCACCCCAAAGCTTTCGAAACTCTTCTCCAGGGCTAGGCTGGGACCGCGGGCTGTCCAGTACCGCTGAGTCCCCAAGCCCCACTGCCAGCAAGGCCGCCAAACTCAGAAAGGAAACCCTGAACTTGTGCCCTGGGTTCTGGTTTTTCAGACGCGTTCACGAAGTTCCACCGCTGGACCCGAAGCGAAAGCAGCAGCAATTATCAGCACTAGGAGACGCAGCCAAAAATCACCGGGATCTGCAGTTGTTTTTCTCGTCCTCTCTCCCCTAGCTCCAGTTTCCTTTTCTTGCTATAAGCGCCCTCGTACCCCTATTCCTTCTAAACCAACTGGCCACTGGATCTCGCTCATCTGTGGTCGAGTTTCACTGTGAACTTCCCCTAGGCCACCCAACGGGACCGACGTGTAGAGAATTTCATGGGCCCCCGTATCACCGCCCTTAAAGACACCTCACGTCCTGGCAGGTGCTGGGGCGCGGGAACGGGGGCGCAGCGCCCCAGTCTCAAACACCAAAGCAGGCAGGGTAACCCGGTGCCACCCCCTTCCACCCACTTGCCCCGCGCCACCCGGAAAAAAAAATCCCACCCCACTGCGACTTCCGAACGTCCCCCACCTCGGCTCGGCTCTTGAGGCTGCTCCGCTTAGGTCGGAGCAGGACATCCTTGAAGTCGAGCTTGAGGTCCGCATCTATGCGGGGCATGGTGCAGCGGCTCCTGGCTGCGGCGGCGGCGACGGCGGGGCGGGGGCGCCTGCGCGGGGCGGCGCGGGGAGCGCCGGGGCTGCTGTGCCGCGGCCGGGAGCTGGCGTGGGCCGGGTGCGCACGCCGCGGTCTTAAACACGCCCCGCCGACCCGCGGTCACGCTTGGCCCGCCCCGGGCACCGCCTCCGCCTCAGGCAGGGGTTGAGAGGCAGACTGGTTAGGGACAGATTGGCGGCGAAGCCCTTCCTCCTCGCGCCGCCGCCCCCGTCCTTCCCCCTCAGGTGTACAGCCCGTGGCAGTGACCGAATGGGGACGGGGGAGGGAAATGCGCACCGTTCTGTTTGTCCCCAGGGTCCCCGATGGAGAGGGGACTTAGCGTGTGGCTGCCTTATCCAAGGGAAAAGTCGCTCCCTGAGAGCTTTTACTTTTTTTTTTTTTTTTTTGAGACAGTCTCACTGTCGCTCAGGCTGGAGTGAGTGGCGCTATCGCCGCTCATCGCAGCCTCGACTTCCTGGGCTCAAACGATTCTCATGCCTCAGCCTCCTCGAGTACAGGCGCACGCCGCCACACCCAGCTTATTTTAAAAATTATTTCCTAGAGGCGGGGTTTCACCATATTGCCCAAGCTGGTCTCGAGCCCCTGACCTCAAGTGATCCGCCTGCCTCGGCCTCCCAAAGTGCTGGGATTACAGGCGTGAGCCACCGTGCCCGGCGGATTCTCCTTTTTTAAAATTCAAGCCCGGTGTGCTCACCCAGTGTTGAGGAGCACGTCTCTCACTTGCCAAAGAACCAGAAACCCCAGGGAGGTTGTATAGAATTAAGGAAAAGAACGTGGGCAGTTAACTGTTTAGCTGTACTGGGATTGTGGAGGCCATGATTCCCTTTGGACTTGTTGTTAAGAGACAAGGTCTCACTGTGTTGCCCAGGCTGGTCTTGAACTACTGGGTTCAAGCAATCCTCCCGCCTCAGCTTCCCAGTGTTGGGACTACTGGCGTGAGCCACTGCGCCCAGCCTGGATTTCAGGATTTTTGTTTAAGAAAAACAGTGAGGTCTGTAGTCGACGCAGATCCTGAGATTTGAGGAGCCTGAGTCCCCTCTGAGGGTTACCAGTGATGTGAGTTCGAGGGGTTACCAGTGATGTGAGTTCATTGATTCACTTATTGACCTTACCGACCTTTTATTATACATTTGAAATGTGCTGCCGGGCTTCATGCATCATCTCATTCACTCTCAGAACAACCCAATGAAGAAAGAGCCATTTCACAGATAAGGAAAAACGAGGCTTCTATAAATGAAATAACTTGCCTAAGGCCGCAGAAAAATTCAATATAAATTTCTCAGTCCTTAAAACTTGCTACAACTATTCACTGAAGCTGCTTTTGTCCTGGAACATCTCTGCCTGAGTTTGAAACCTGGTTCCACCACTGTCTAGCTAGGTGACCTTAGGGGAGTCAATTTCTCTAAGTCTCAGTTTTCTCATAAAAGGGGTGGGGGCAGGAGGGGGGGTTAACCCTATCTCCTCCCTGGTTTTTGTGAGAATTAAAGTGTGTGTGTTTATGTAAGCACAATGTCTGTCCCATAGTAGTTGCTCAATGCATGGTAGTTACAGATTTGTAGTCACATGTTACATTATGTGCATTGTGTTTGTATTTTCAAACTAGAATGCTAACTGCACAAAGGCAAGAATCATCTTTCATTCTCTTCCATTTTTCTGCAGCCTCGAACTGAGCTAGCAACTGTTCTCCTTGAGCTAGCATGTGATAAGGCTGACCATAAAAGATACATCACAATATTCAATTTAACACAAATGTCTGAAGATGATAAAGGTCTCAGCCCATCCCACATGGTTTCATTAGCTATACCCCAAAGGAAGTTCATGAAGTTTCAGGGAAGGAAATGAAACTTATCAGAGAGAATGAAAGTAGCCACAATTAGTCCAGCCCATGCAATGTTTATAACCCTTGACGAATTCTTGGGAGCTGGCCAGATGTGCTGCTTATTTGTGAAGTACGGAAAGGAAACCTAATTCTGATCTTTTAAAGATTAAATAGAGGTAAAATATAATTACTAGATGGTATGATTATTTTTAAATTATTATCCTTAAAGGGAAGAGAAACTGACCTTGTTAAGCATCTGCCAGCGTGGATGAGGGCTTTATTCATTGTTTCATACATGGTCTTAAAGGAGAAGCTTCTGTAGGTTGTCCTTGCTCTTTCCCTCTGGTTCTCTTTCTTTCTGGCTAGCCCTCCTTTTATTAGAATAGACAGAGAAGTTCATTTTACACATTCCATTCCCTCTCCCTCTGGAACATTCCTCTATAACTGCCCTCTTCTCTGACACAAAATCATACTCCTGTTAGAGTCAGCCTGAGTCCCTGATTCTTCTAAAACCGGCTTTGCAAAAATTATGACAGTGAGAAAAATCTGACATAGGAAAATGACAACAGTGAAAGAAATCTGACCTAACTGACTCCATCTTGCTTTTAACCGCCAAGGTGTCCTTGTTCATTCCTGGGTGTAGGTTGAACTAACTATGGGAGGAATTGAGTTTATAGTTTAACTTTGAAACAAAGATGAGAACAGCACGTTCCCAAAACAAACCCCCTCCTGGCTTGGGGACCAGCGCACCTTTGTAAAACTAACAAAGTAGCTACAGATTACAAATCATGGCTCAGGCATCATGTAGCCAGAGGCCATAAGATTCCCAACCTCCCCAGTTGCTCCTATGAATAACATCACTATTGAAAACCTAAGATTGGTGTTAGAGATATGTTTCAGTCAGTCCCCCCATTCTGATGGACCAGCTGGCACCACCCTGACCAGTAAACTGGCTCAGCTAGTTCTGTGATCCCACTCGGAAACGGAAGACAGCAAGGAAAACCCACTTCAACAGCCTATTATTTCATCCCTTACCTGACCAATCAGCATTCCCCACTCCCTAGTTCCTGCCCACCAAATTATCCTTAAAAAAGCCTGGTCTCTGAATTTTTGGGGAGACTGATTTGAGCAATAAAACTCCAGTCTCCTGTTAGCTGGCTCTGCATTTATTAAACTCTTTCTGTATTGCAGTAATGCTGTCTCAGTAAATTGGCTCTATCTATGCAGCAGGCAAGAAGAACACATAGGGCAGTTCCACTCCCACACCAACTGAGACTCCTTTCAACATCCTCTGCTTCTCATTACTCTAATACAACAATAATAGTTTCCCATCAGTACAATGACTTTATGTTAAAGTTTTCACTGTCTAGACAAAGCCATAAGTGATATCCAGAGTTCAATTTATTAACATTTTATTATGGGAGGGGAGGGTTATCCCCAAAATTACATGGGAAGATAACCTCCAAAATTATGTGGGATAAATTCCACTTGGTCACAGTGCATAATCCTTTTTTGTATTGATGGATCCTATTTGCTAATATTTTGTTAAGGATTTGTGCATCTGAGCTTATAAGGGACATTACTCTGTAGTTTTCTTTTCTTTTGATGCCTTTATCAGGGTAATAGTGGCCTCATAGAATTAGTTGGGAAATGTTCCACGCTCTGTTTTCTGAAAGAGCTTGTGTAGGCTTGGGATTAGTTCTTTAAATATTTAATAGAATTAACCAGTGAACTAAAATTATGTGAAGTGATAAAATGGTTTATTTTTAGTAAATAAGTATCTCTCAAAACCCAGAAATAAAGTTAAGTATTAAAGGCTTTTTGATAATTCAGAATTATAGTATTTAATATTAAGGGATAAGAGCAAATCTGGAGGCATCACACTACCTGATTTCAAACTATACTATAAGGCCATAGTCACCAAAACAGCATGGTGCTGGTACTGGTATAAAAATGGGCACATAGACCAGCGGAAAACAATAAAGAACCCAGAAATAAACCTACATACCTACAGCCAATTGATCTTCAACAAAGCAAACTAAAACATGAAGTGGAAAAAGGACACCCTTTTCAACAAATGGTGCTGGGATAATTGGCTAGTCACATGTAGGAGAATGAAACTGGATCCTCATCTCTCACCTTATACAAAAATCAACTCAACATGGATTAAGGGGCCGGGTGAGGTGGCTCATGCCTGTAATCCCAACACTTAGGGAGGCTGAGGCAGGCAGATCATCTGAGGTCAGGAGTTTGAGACTAGCCTGGCCAACATGGTGCAACCCTGTCCCCACTAAAAATACAAAAATTAGCTGGGCATGGTGACACCGGTCTGTAGTCCCAGGTACTCGGGAAGCTGAGGTGGGAGAATTGCTTGAACCCGGGAGATGGAGTTTGCAGTGAGCCGAGATTGGGCCACTGCACTCCAGCCTGGGCGACAGTGTGAGACTCCATCTCAAAAAAAGAAGAAGAAGGTGGATTAAGAACTTAAACCTAAGACCTGAAACTATAAAAATTATAGAAGATAACATTGGAAAAACCCTTCTAGACATTGGCAAGGATTTCGTGACCAAGAACCCAAAGCAAATGCAATAAAAAAAAAAGATAAATAGCTGGGACCTAATTAAACTAAAGAGCATGGCAAAGGGAACAGTGAGCAGAGTAAACCGACAACCCACAGAGTGGGAGAAAATTCACAATCTATACATCTGACAATGGACTAACATCCAGAATCTACAACAAACTCAAACAAATCAGTAAGAAAAAGACAATCCCATCAAAAAGTGGGCTAAGGGCATGAATAGACAATTCTCAAAAGAAGATATACAAATGGACAACGAACACACAAAAAAATGCTTAACATCACTAATGATGGGGGAAATGCAAATCAAAACCACAATGCGGTACCACCTTATTCCTGCAAGAATGGCCATACTCAAAAAATCAAAAAACATTAGGTGTTGGTGGCTGGGCACGGTGGCTTGCACCTGTAATCCCAGCACTTTGGAAGGCCAAGGCAGGTGGATCCAGACCATCCTGGCTAACACAGTGAAACCCCATCTCTACTAAAAATACAAAAATTAGCCGGGCGTGGTGGCACGTGCCTGTAGTCTCAGCTACTCGGGAGGCTGAGGCAGAAGAATTGCTTGAACCCGGAAGGCAGAGGTTACAGTGAGCAGAGATCACGTCACTGCACTTCAGCCTGGGTGACAGAGTCAGACTCCATCCTAAAAAGAAAAATGAAAAAAAAAAAAAAAACAATAGATGTTGGTGTGGATGCGGTGAACATGAAACACTTCTACACTGCTGGTGGGAATATAAACTAGTACAACCACTATGGAAAACAGTGTGGAGATTCCTTAAATAATTAAAAGCAGAACTACTATTTGATCCAGCAATCCCACTACTAGATATCTACCCAGAGGAAAATAAATTATTCGAAAAAGATATTTGCACACACGTTTATAGCAGCACAATTCACAATTGCAAAAAGTGGGCTAAGGGCATGAATAGACAACCTACACTACAACCTCCACCTCTCGGGCTCAAATGATTTTCCTGCCTCAGCCTCTGGAGTAGCTGGAACTACAGGTGTGCTCCACCATGCCCGGCTAATTTTTGTATTTTTAGTAGAGACGGGGTTTCACCATGTTGGCCAGGATGGTCTTGATCTCTTGACCTCGTGATCCGCCTGCCTCGGCCTCCCAAAGTGCTGGGATTACAGGTGTGAGCCTCCGCACCTGGCCAGCCAGCTTACTTTTAAAAACTGGGAGGCCTAGCAGGGTGTTCATCCCCTCAGAGGTCTGCCATCTGCTAGAGTGAATCAATGTTGTCTCTTTAGATGGGGTGGATGGGTGATCTCTAATGCATAAACCTGACTCGACCCTCCTGGCACATAAACAGTTGTTTAAATTTGCCATCCCTGATGGACAATACACACTGAGAATAATGCCTCGCTTTTCCAGCTCAATTTTTGCAGAGAAAGTAGATATAAATTCAATTTGCTTGTCTCTTGGGGCAGGAAAATGTGTGTGTGTCTATGTATATGTTTGTTTCACTTATTGAAATAGACAAGTCAGTATCATCATAATGGAATTTAGACTACTAAATCCAACACCAAAAGGAGGGGGTTTGCCTTCAGGATATGATTCTATTTTTAAAATAACATTAGAGATTAAAACCTGTGATGGTATTATTATTAAGGTTGTTATTATGAGTCAAAATTAGTCTGGCATAATCATCTCATTACCATCCCGGTGATCTTTCTTTTAATTAAAATCTTCTGTGTCAGAAATAAGGCAGAAGGGAAGAAAATAATCTCCACATTAAAATTCCCGTAGAGTCTTCCCTTAATCCAGTTAATCTGGTGTTGGGTAGTTTATTAAAAATGCTGTTTTCCACATTTTTCACTGAGATGGAGCCTCCACTTCTTAATTCAATTGTGTTTCCAGCCCAGACATTGAGTTTTAACTGACAGAAGAATGTAGCATGGCTTTTCCTTGCAGTGGTGTTTACAACTAATTTATCACGGCCAGTTACAGATTTCTTTGTTCCTTCTCCAGTACCGCTCCTTCACTTAACCAGCCTTAAAAAAAAAAAAAAAAAAAGCTTTTTCTTGATTTTCTCATAATCCCTCCTGTGAAAAGCACTTTTTTTGTTTGTTTGTTTTCATTTTTTTTGTTTTGTTTTCAGACGGAGTCTTGCTCTGTCACCCAGGCTGGAGTGCAGTGGCGTGATCTAGGCTCACTGCAACCTCTGCCTCCTGGGTTCAAGCGATTCTTCGCCTCAGCCTCCCGAGTAGCTGGAACTACAGGCGTGCACCACCACGCCCGGCTAATTTTTGTATTTTTAATAGAGACAGGGTTTCACCACGTTGACCAGACTGGTCTTGAACTCTAGATCTCAGATGATCCACCCGCCTTGGCCTCCCAAAGTGCTGTGATTATAGGCAAGTGCCACTGTGCCTGGCCTTGTTTTTGTTTGAGACAGTGTTGTGGGAAACTGAGGACCGGAGAGACTGATATGGAGAACAGGAGGATTGTTTATTTTAGGTACACACTGGCTCAGTGGACTTATATCCAAAAAGCTGAGCCAGTGCGTACCTAAAATAAACAATCCTCCTGTTTTCCATATCAGTCTCTCCGGTCCTCAGTTTCCTGCAACATTTTTGGCGACCACGAAGGGACGGGAGATGGCAGGCTTACTGTCTCCTTTGCCTCTAGGGGTTGGAGCCCTGGGCCTCGGAAAACCTGTGACCTCAGGCGCTGCCAGGAGAACTTCAGCCCGGAGGGAAGATTAGCTCTCTCGTGACCCAGTGCCCCTACACAGCAGCACAACGAAACCTAAAGAAGGGCTACAGGACGATTTCAGAAATAGCATGCGTCAGAAACTGCAGTAAGGTTTTAGGGCCCAAGGCAGGACCTGTCCCAATGGGATGGAAGGGGAGCCTGATCACCTCCCGGGGTGGGCTGAATAGTCCAACTCAGAGGGGCTGGGGGCACCTGGAGTGGCTCGTCAATTTGGATGAAACTCACACCCTAGCTGACACAGGACACAGGAGTGGCTCGCTAAGTCTGCTAGGAAACTGGAGGTGGTGAGAGTGGCCTGCCACCCCAACTAGGAAACTGGAGGTGGCGAGAGTGGCTCGCCAAGTCAGCTAGGAAACTGGAAGTGGCCAGAGTGGCTCGCTAAGTCAGCTAGGAAACTGGAGGTGGCGAGAGTGGCTCACCACCCCAACTGGGAAACTAGAGGGGGCAAGAGAGGCACGCCACCCCAGTTATGAACACGGGAACTGGGAGTGGGAAAGTGTGTGAAAATGTGTGAATGGAGGAGCCTAATTAGACTAATCAGCCACGAAGCTGGGAGTCACAGATCTCTTAGCATGGACTATATGCTCTGAGAAAGTGTAGGGTCAACTAAGACTAGTGGCGATCTGCATATGGCTAATAGGAGCTGCCCTACAGCTCAGAGTTGTAGTAGAAATAAAGAACTCTCCAAAGCCAAGCAGCATCTGAAAACTCCCATAATAAGAGACAGTATAGTCGGCCGAAACGAGAGGAAGAGTGAGTGTGCGAGAATGATTGTGCGGCGTCGTAAAGGGAGGATAGGAGGAAAGTCATCAAAACTTACTCCATTGGAGTGCACGTTACAAAACTTTAAGAAAGGTTTTGCAAGGGATTATGGAGTTAAGCTAACCCCCTAAAGGTTGGGAACTCTCTGTGAATTAAAATGGCCTTTTAGTGTGGGATGGCTGACCAAAAGAACTATAGATAGGAATAACTGGCCATGCATTTAAGGTGGTAACAGGGGTTGGAGGACAGCCAGGGTGCCCAAATTTCCTTAAATTGATTTATGGTTAAATATAGCACAGACAAGACCGGCCTGGATCCAGCCCTATTTAGCAGCTTCACTGGCAGACACAGAGTTAAAGGGAAGTCCCAGAGAAAGCGAGAGAAGCCAGTTTTGCAGGAGCTACCAGAAGGAACAGAGATTCTTTCTCCATATGTCCCAGGCTACCCCCCTTTACCGAGGCTAACAGCCCTCCAGGAACCAGATTCAGGAGCTAGCACGCCCCAAGTTTCACCCCAAAGGGGAGAATCGGAGCCTCGAGAGATCAGGGAAGGAAGTCAAGATAGTCAAGCAGGTCATCTCAGATCTCGCCATGCTTGAGCTATGCAAATGCCTCTCAGGGAGACACGAGAACCCATTTATTATGATGACCAAAGCCAGGTCCAGGGGGCCGACAGACTTTGGTCTACCAGCCTTTTCAACCACTGATCTTTTAAACTGGAAACACCATACTCCCTCCTACATGGAGAAGCCCCAAGCTCTTATAGATCTGAGGCAATCCATCTTTCTGACACACAATCCAACCTGGCCAGACTGCAGGCAGCTCCTCCTCACATTATTTAACACTGAGGAGTGCAGGAGAGTAACACAGGCAGCTCGCCTCTGGCTGGAAGCCCAGGCACCAGAAGACACAGTGAATGCTCAGGCATACGCTCAGGGTCAGCTCCCAGACCAAGACCCCAGGGGGGACCCGGAGGATGCAACTCAGCTTCAGCGTTTGCAGAGGTACCAAAAGGTCGCTTTTGCAGGGGATAAGAGCTAATAAAAAGAAAGCAATTAATATAAGGAAGATTTCAGAAGTGCTTCAGGGAGCTGACAAGAGCCTAAGTCACTTTTATCAGAGACTTTGTGAAGCATCCTGGTTTTACACCCCATTTGACCCTGAGGCTGCTGAAAATCAGCACATGGTAAACACAGCATTTGTAGGGCAAGCCCAGGGTGACATCAAGCGGAAACTTCAGGCATGAATGCCACCCAGCTTATAAAAGTGGCCACCAAGGTGTATGTTAACCGTGACCAGGGAACAAATGGGAAAGAGCGAAAGCAACAAGCACGGCACCAGGCAGCCAGGCACGCTAAGGGTTAAGTCCCTTTCCCCAGCCCAGCTCTATCTGGAAAAAGAGGGAGGCAGGGACCCGCATGGGAGCAGAGCAAAGGCGAAGGAAGGGAGAAAGTAAGAGTAAGTGTGAAAAAGGAAAGAAGAAAGTAAAAAGGAAAATTGGAAAGAAACAGAAAAGACCGATGGCAGTGCGTGCGTGGGGGCAGAGCCCGTGTGCCTGGCCCTGCCAGCCGTAGGAGCAGAACTCAGGAAGGAAAAAGAAAGCAGAGCAAAGACTTAAGAAAAATGCGGATCTGTTGGCAGCAGTCTTTATAGAAAAAGAGATTAGCAATGTGAGAGGACGTGGACAAGGATGTGGACATGGAAGGGGTCAAGTTAGGCAGGGATTTGAGAGCCCGACAAGGCTAGAAAGAGATCAATGTGTGAGACGGAAAAAGAAAGGACCCTGGAAGGATAAATGTCCAGAAGGTAATAAAGAGAGTGGTAAAGCTGTGGTATAAAGAAGTCATCGGCCAAGGGCTGCCACACCTTAGAAAGACCAGATGCTCATCTGCTCGGGCTGGCAGGAGCTGAAGGATGTGAGGACTAGGACAAACCGGGCTCCTTTTCATCAGGTCTCCAGGAGCCCATGGTCACATTAGAAGTTGAAGGCAGCAGGATTCTGTGTATCTGGATTCCAAGTTTCTCACTGATGGCTACGCCACTATATAAAGTTACAAAGGTGGGGAGAACAAGAATCCCTTCTCTGGGAAACTGAACAGGAGAAGGAGCCATGCCTTCATTCCTTGTGAGACTTGCTTATAAACTTTACCGAAATGCCTCACGCCAGAGGCTATTGGTATATGCTAGTGTTTATTTGCACCTTTTTCAGGATGGATTGAGGCCTCCCCCACTAGGACAGAAAAAGCACGAGAAGTGACTAAAGTACTGTTAAGAGACATTACCCTCAGGTTTGGACTGCCTCTAACTTTAAAGTCAGACAATGGGTCGGCATTTGTAGCTGAAATAGTGCAAGATTTAACAAAACTGTTGAAAATAAAATGGAAGCTACACACAGCCTTCGGCCGCAAAATTCAGGAAAAGTGGAACGCATGAACTGGACACTCAAGCAGCTACTGAAGAAATATTGCCAGGAACCTCATCTGAGATAGGATCAGGTTTTGCCTGTGGTCCTCCTCTGAGTCAGGTGCACCCCCACCAAACAAACTGGGTATTTGCCCTATAAGATTTTGTTCAGTTGGCCACCCCAAAACCATAGGTCAAATTAAAGGTGATCTCCAGGAACTAGGGGATTAACTTTAAGAAAACAAATGCAGGCTTTAGAAATAGCCATGCGAAGTGTTCATAATTAGGTACATGAAAAAATGCCTATAAACCTGACACCCATTTAAACCTAGAGATTCTGTTGTTTAAGTTAAAAAGTAGAACCCAACTTCCTAAGACCCATGTGGGATGGGCCCCATACGGTAATCTTGTTCACTCCTACTGCTGTTAAAGTTGCAGGTGTTATGCCTTGGATCCACCACAGTTGGCTGAAACTGGCAGCTCAGGTACAAGTAAACCAGTCAGCAGAACCCAGACCATTTGACCCGGCTGATCCTGCGACAAGACCGAGTTGCTGCTGAGGACGACAGCCCTGCTCTGCTCACTCCGGAGGCTGACCAGTCTATGCATGGCTGAAGCTTGAGGAAACAACAATCCTTGCTCTAGTCACACACCAGAAGCTGACTAGTCTATGCAGGACTGAAGCTTGATTCGTCAAGCAAGTAAATGTAGCTAGAAATCTTAGGACTAGAAGCTTTCCTGTAATACTGTTTTACTATTGTTTTGTTGCTGTGCTCAACCTCCTTCCCCAGGTAAGAACCTCTTTTGTCCTTGCTGGATATGAATATGCTGTGCATTGTTTTGTTGTTGTTACCCCCCTTAACCATGCTAGAAGTGAGAGGTGACAGCATGCTGGCAGCTGTGGTACTAGCAGCCCTCACAGCCTTCGCTCACTCTCGGCGCTTCCTCTGCCTGGGCTCCCACTTTGGCGGCACTTGAGGAACCCTTCAGCCCGCCGCTGCACTGTGGGAGCCCCTTCCTGGGCTAGCAGAGGCCGGAGCCGGCTCCCTCAGCTTGCAGGGAGGTGTGGAGAAAGAGACGCGGGCGGAACCCGGGCTGCGCGCGGTGCTTGCGGGCCAGCACGAGTTCCGGGTGGCTGTGGGCATGGCGGGCCCCGCACTCGGAGCGCCTGGCCGGCTGCCAGCCCGGGGCAATGAGGGGCTTAGCACCTGGGCCAGCAGGTGCGGAGAGTGGGCTGGGTCCCCCAGCAGTGCCGGCCCACCGGCGCTGCGCTCGATTTCTCGCCGGGCCTTTACTGCCTCCCCGCAGGGCGGGGCGGGGCGGGGCGGGGCTGGGCTGGGCTGGGGACCTGCAGCCCACCATGCCTGAGCCTCCCCACCCCCTTCCGTGGGCTCCTGTGCTGTCCAAGCCTCCCCGAAGAGTGCCGCCCCCTGCTACACGGCGCCCAGTTCCATTGACCACCCAAAGGCTTAGGAGTGTCGGCGCGCATGGCATGGGACTGGCAGGCAGCTCCACCTGCAGCCCCAGTGCGGGATGCTCTGGGTAAAGCCAGCTGGGCTCCTGATTAGTGGGGACTTGGAGAACCTTTATGTCTAGCTAAGGGATTGTAAATACACCAATCAGCACTCTGTATCTAGCTCAAGGTTTGTAAACACACCAATCAGCACCCTGTGTCTGGCTCAGGGTTTGTGAATGCACCAATTGACACTCTGTATCTAGCTTATCTAGTGGGGACATGGAGAACCTTTATGTCTAGCTCAGGGATTGTAAACGCACCAATCAGCACCCTGTCAAAACAGACCACTTGGCTCTCTGTAAAATGGACCAATCAGCAGGAAGTGGGTGGGGCCAGATAAGAGAATAAAAGCAGGCTGCCCGAGCCAGCAATAGCAACCTGCTGCGCTTGCCTTTGTTCTTTTGTTTTTTGCAGTAAGTCTTGTTGCTGCTCGCTCTTTGGGTGTACACTGCCTGTATGAGCTGTGACCCTCATTTGTGAAGGTCTGCAGTTTCATTCCTGAAACCAGCAAGACCATGAATTCTCTGGGAGGAGTGAATAGCTCCAGATGCCCTGCCTTAAGAGCCGTAACATTCACCGCGAAGGTTTGCAGCTTACCTCCTGAGCCAGCGAGACCACGAACCCCACCAGAAGGAAGAAACTGAACACATCCAAGTGTCAGAAGGAACAAACTCCAGATATGCATCCTTTAAGAACTCTAACCCTCACTACAAGGGTCAGCGGCTTTGTTCTTGAAGTCAGTGAGACCATAAAACCCACCAATTGTAGACACAAGCACCCACAGAAGGGTGTCCTCACTGTACACATACTACTTCGTCTGGGAACAGTATAACCAGAACGCTGTTGTACCATAATTATTGGTGTACAGGGACTTGCTTAGGAACTTGTGTTTATAATCAGACCACGTACTCAATTTGTGACCCAGGAAATAACCAACCTTATGATCTTAAAGTTTTCTTTTTATTATAAGTTCTAGAGTACATGTGCACAATGTGCAGGTTTGTCACACAGGTATATATATATATGTGCCATGTTGGTGTGCTGTACCCATTAACTCGTCATTGACATTAGGTATTTCCCTTAATACTATCCCTCCCCCCTGCCCCCCACCCCACGACAGGCCCTGGTCAGTGATGTTCCCTGCTCTGTCCCAAGTTTTCCCATTGAATTCCCACCTATGAGTGAGAACATGCAGTGTTTATCTGTCCTTGAAATAGTTTGCTCAGAATGATGGTTTCCAGCTTCATCCATGTTGTTAGAAAGGAGATGGACTCATCCTTTTTCATGGCTGCATAGTATTCCATGGTGTATATATGCCACATTTTGTTAATCCAGTGTATCATTGATGGACATTTGGGTTGGTTCCAAGTCTTTGCTATTACGAGTAGTGCAGCAATAAACATATGTGTGCATGTGTCTTTATGTAGCATGATTTATAATCCTTTGGGTATATACCCAGTAATGGGATTGCTGGGTCAAATGGTATTTCTAGTTCTAGATCCTTGAGGAATCGCCACACTATCTTCCACAGTGGTTGAACTAGTTTAGACTCCCACCAACAGTGTAAAAGTGTTCCTATTTCTCCACATCCTGTCCAGCACCTGTTGTTTCCTGACTTTTTAATGATTGCCATTCTAACTGGTGTGAGATGGTATCTCATTGTGGTTTTGATTTGCATTTTCTGGTGACCAGTGATGATGAGCATTTTTTCATGTGTCTGTTGGCTGCATAAATGACTGACCCCAAGTTTTCAATTGGTGAATGGTTTGAAATTCGTGCAGGGTCAAAAGAAGGTCCCCTCTTAAACCAAACCAGGGTGCCTCCCTTTTACTGAGGGCCTATTTCTCTGTATTTTGATGCTTGTCAGGTAGCATACCAAGACTCACCCGTCTGTGGAAACTTACCTTTGGAAAGATACTATAGAAATAACTACAAATAAGTATGCATGCCAAGAGTAACTCCACTTTGTTCCCCTGGGACCCCAGAGAAAGACTGTCGGTATTGCATATCATAGCACCCTAGCACACAACAAAGGTCAATTATACTTACCAAAATGCCGATGAAACCAGATTGTGAAGCAAAAACCTGTAATCCTGTAAATTTCACTATTTTAAAGCCAGACTTACCCACGTGGAGTGCAGGTTACCCCATACATGTCTACGTACACACATACCCAGCAACCTTCGTATACGTTATCAAAAAGAGAACCCGGACCCATCTGGCCCAGCAAGCCACAAAAATGAGGAACACTATCTATCAGAACAGATTAGCTTTAGACTACCTCCTAGCCCGGGAAGGAGGAGCATGTGGAAAGTTCAATCTAACATATTGCTGCCTGGAAATCGATGACAATGGAAAGGCAATTATGGAAATAACTGCAAGAATGAGAAGATTAGCCCATGTTCCAGTTCAAACTTGGAAAGGGTGGGCTCTAGATTCTTTGGAGGCTGGTTTTCATTTTTTTGGAGGGTTCAAGACTTTAATAGGAGTGGTTCTGGTCATACTAGGAGTTGCTTAATACTCCTTTGTCTCTTACCTCTCCTTGGTAGAAGCACTCAATCAACTATAGAGGCAATAATAGCTAGGCAAACTACCAGTCAGCTAATGGCTATGCATAAATATCAACCTTTGTCTAAAGAAGAAAACTTGTCTCTACAGGCAGAGCTAAGTAATAGTAATGCCTTCTATTAAACTTATTTTATAAAAGGCATCAAAGGGGGTAAACTGAGGCAGACATTTACAAATAAATATGCATTCATTCACTCTAAGAAAAGTAACAGGAAAGGCAAGGGTTAAAAAGAAAAGAACAAGTGTTCCTCTGCCTAGCAGGGGAAAGCGCAGCAAGCTCACTTCAAGGACAATTATAAAATAACACTGTTTAAGAAGCCAAGGCCAAAGGAATGGGCTCCAGACGCCCCCTCTCCAGAGCAAGCTTGAAGGGAAAAAAAAGGAGAAAGACAAATTCTTTTACTGTTACTCCTTTCCCAGGCTTCTTAAGCATGATTCTGTTTTACAAATGTCTCTATTTAGCCAGTTCATGTTTTTCTTTCAATGCAGCTACAAGGCCACTGGCTATGCAAGGCCACAAGTTATGCTGTGCTATAGATTATGTGACCTATCTATGATTAACTGCTTTTGTTTTATTTATTGTAAGTCCGCTTATAAAAACCCCGCTCTGTCTTTGTTTAATGCTCAGCTTTTTGGATATGAATCTACTGGGCTGATGCGTACTTAAAAATAAACAATCCTCTTGTTTCTCTCATATTGGCCTCTCCTTTCCTCAGTTTACCTCAACAACAGGCTCTTGCTCTACCACCAAGGCTGGCGGAGTGCAGCGGTGCTCACTGCAGCCTCAAACTCCTGGGCTCAAGCAATCTTCCTGCTTCAGCCTTCCAAAGCATTGGGATTTCAGGTGTGAGTCACCGTGCCTGGCCTTGAAGGCCGCTTTTAAGAAAAGTTAAGCACCTTGAAATATTTAATAATGCTTAGGCCAAAATAATTCAATTTCCAGGTAACTATACCCACCTGCTATGGGTAATAATTTCTCTTTCCTTCCCATCCCCATTTAGCAAGTCTTCGTCCTTTCCTTTTGCTGTGTGGTCCTTACAACTCTCAGCTCACAAACTCCATATGCAGGAAAGCTGTCCTTCTTTACTTTCTTTCAGATATCTTGTACTTGGTTTCTGGCCCCTCATCTTGCTGAGATGGGGGCCCAGGATTCATTTTCAGTCATTGCTGGGGCTTTCCCCACACCAAATGTGCCAGGTCTTACAGTGACAAAGGACGAGTGGCTGCCTCAGTTTTAATCATCTGCCACACCAGAAGTCTCCACTGTCCTGGCCCACAAGGTCCCTTCAAGTCCTGTGGCTCTGATGCTTCTTTGTCACTTGTGGGTGAGGGAATCTTGACTGGGACTGGGAGCCCTGTGTCTGGAGTCCTTTCCGTTGTCTCTGGGGCATATCCTCCTGGTGCTGATTTGAAGGCGGGTGAAGGACAGGTTTGCAGAAAACACTTTCTCCCCTTCAGGATTGAGAAGAATATTTCCCCTTCCTCACCCCACTGTGTTCTCTCTAAGGTGCTGCTCCTCTCTCCTGTTCCTGACACCCAACATCATCTCCTCATGGGTTTAGACTTTTACAAAAGGCAGTGAGAGCTGTGGACTTCTGCTCTTTGCTTAAAATGGGAGAATTTAAATACACAGAGAATAATTTTGTAGCTTGAGAAAGGTACCTTTGGCCGGGCGAGGTGGCTTATACCTGTAATCCCAGTATTTTGGTAGGCCAAGGCAGGTGGATCAACTGAGGTCAGGAGTTCAAGATCAGCCTGACCAACATGGAGAAACCCCCATCTCTACCAAAAATACAAGATTAGCTGGGCGTGGTGGCACATGCCTGTAGTCCCAGCTACTCAGGAGGCTGAGGCAAGAGAATCACTTGAACATTTGTGGCAGAGGTTGCAGTGAGCCGAGATCGTGCCATTGCACTCTAGTCTGGGCAACAAGAGCAAAACTCCCTCTCAAAAAAAAAAAAAAAAAAAAAAAAAGAGAGAAAGCTACCTTGCTGTAAGGTATCTGATTACCAAATAAAGCAAATAGAGGTCACATTGAAGTATGTATTCCCTGAAAGAAAAAAGCAAATAAGAAAAGACACAAAGCTGGGTGTGGTGGCTCACACCTGTAATCCTAGTATTTTGGGAGGCTGAGGTGGGAGGATCACCTGAATCAGGAGTTCGAGACCAGCCTGGCCAATGTGGTGAAACCCTGTCTCTACTAAAAATAAAAAGAATTATCTGGGCATGGTGGTGGGCACCTGTAATCCCAGCTACTTGGGAGGATGAGGCAGGAGAATCGCTTGAACCAGGGAGGCGGAGGTTGCAGTAAGCCGAGATTGCACCACTGCATTCCAGCCTGGGCAACAAGAGTGAAATTACATCTCAAAAAAAAAAAAAAAAGAAAAAGAAAAAGAAAAAGACACAAAGAAGGAGAGATAGAAAGCTGTGGGACTTCAGCACTGAGTTTGGGGCCATTTTAAACAGTGAAATTTCCAATAAAAAGCACAACTATGTGAAAACCAAGACACTAGATCAACTGTAAAAAAGAAACTGAGCCATGTTCACACCTGTAATCCCAGCACTTTGGGAAGCTGAGGCAAGAGGGTCCCTTGAACCCAGCAGTTCGTGACCAGCTGGGGCAACATACTGGAGACCTCATCTCTACAAATTAAAAAAATTAGCCAGGCGTGGTGGTAAACGCCTGTAGTCCTAGCTACTTGGGAGGCTGAGGTGGGAGGATTTCGTGAACCCTGATCTCACCACTGTACTCCAGCCTGGGGAACACAGCAAGACCTTGTCTCAAAAAAAAAAAAAAAAAAGACACTTATTTACAGTATGAGAGCTGAAACAAGAAGGTAAAGCATTGCTTTGTTCCACTTGAACTGAATGTGCATCTCACGTGACTTAAGGAAGACTTCAGGAAGCTCTTTGACCAATATTGGGTCTGTTGCCTGTTTTATTTACCCTATTTGAACAAATCAAAGCAAATCAGCACATAGGGTTTTCTTTAGAAGAATTATTATTTATAAAGTTCTTCAAACATGAACAGCTGTTGTACACGTGCAGATCATCATATTATTGAATGCAAAAGTCAATGACAGCTATACAGATATATAATAGTATTAGTTAGCATTTGTTGAACAATTACTGTATTATATTCTAGGCACCCTATTAAGTGCTTGGAACACATGATCTCAATCCTCAAACAAATTTGTGCATTAAATACTATTACTGTACTCAGATTACAAATGTGGAAATTGAGGCAGATAAATTAGTTATGTAACTTGCCTAAAGCTGAACAGCAGGGCTGAGCACGGTGGCTCACACCTGTAATCCCAGCACTTTGGGAGGCCAAGGTGGGTGGATCACCTGGGGTCAGGAGTTTGAGACCAGCCTGACCAACATGGTGAAACTCTGTCTCTACTAAAAATACAAAATTAGCCAGGCGTGGTCCTGTAGTCCTGTAGTCTGTAGTCCCAGCTACTCGGGAGGCTGAGGCAGGAGAATTGTTTGAACTTGGGAAGTGGAGGTTGCAGTGAGCTGAGATCACGCCATTGCACTCCAGCCTAGGCAACAAGAGCGAAACTCTGTCTAAAAACAAAGCAAAGCAAAAAAGCTGAACAGCAAAGATCTTTCTGCTCCGGAAGCCAACTCTTAACCGCTGTGCCATACTGCCTCTTGGCTGCAGAGGTGTCTTATTAAAATGAGATTGAGGTGAAAGGAAAAGTAGAGGGACAGTAGTACTTTCAGGTTATCAGGATTTACTGAGAGCCCACTGTGGGCTCGTGCCCATGCTTTTACCCAGAATGTTAAAGTAGACAAATTTTTTTTTTTTTTTTTTTTTTTTTAAGAGACAAAGTCTCACTCTATCTCCCAGGCTGGAATGCAGTGGCACGATCTTGGCTTACTGCAACCTCTGCCTCCCAGGTTCAAGCGATTCTCCTGCCTCAGCCTGCCAAGTAGATGGGATTACAGGCACATGTCAACACGCCCGGCTAATTTTTGTATTTTTAATAGAGACGGGGTTTCACCATGTTGGCCAAGCTGGTCGCAAACTGACTTCAGGTGATCCGCCTGCCTCGGCCTCCCGAAGTGCTGGGATTACAGGCGTAAGCCACCTCGCCCGGCCCCCACTCTAGTTCCTAATGTCTGCTATCAGTTACATACTAGGGCTGCATTCTTGCCTTTATTGACAAGGTGACCTGGGACACCAGTAGGACAACTTAAGCTGTTCATACAGCTATTGCAATGAATTTGCTTTTTGTTCCTTTGCATTTACAAACATCTGGAGGAAACAAAGAGAAAGTAAGCAAGCGGGAAGATTTCAACACTCTGCTCTCATCTCCCCCTTTTCACTTTTATTTTTATTTTTTTTTGAGATGTAAGTCTCGCTCTGTCGCCCAGGCTGGAGTGCAGTGGCTAGATCTCAGTTCACTGCAAGCTCCGCCTCCCAGGTTCACGTCATTCTCCTGCCTCAGCCTCCCGAGTAGCTGGGACTACAGGCGCCCGCCACCACGCCCGGCTAATTTTTTGTATTTTTAGTAGAGATGGGGTTTCACTATGTTAGCCAGGATGGTCTCGATATCCTGACCTCGTGATCCGCCTGCCTTGGCCTCCCAAAGTGCTGGGATTACAGGCGTGAGCCACCGTGCCCGGCCTTATTATAATTTTTAAAGAGGGTGCCTCTTTGAAAAGCAGGGCACAGTAGAAACCAAATGAGTATTCCGAACTCCGCAAGCAGATTTTCCCCCCAGTACCGGAAGGCACAAACCCAGATCAAATCTGGTCTCCTGGCTCTTTGCGTATCTCTCTGAGTACCTGAATTATTCGTTTCTCCAGACTTTCAAAACCAAGGGTTTAGTTTCTTTTCTGTGTTGTCCTTCTTGCCCCTGCTGGGCTGTGGTTGTTAAATAAGGCTGCAAGAAAAATAGCCCCTAACTTGGACAGCTAAACAGCCACATAGCATCTGGCTTTTGCAAACACTTTATGAGCCTATGTTCCCTGGTCCTGTGTTACTGAATGAAGACCTCACTACTCAGTTCATGCTGGTTTACCTGCAGAATATGCAAAGGAGGAGGTTGCTACTTTTTTTCTCCTCGACCCACTGATCCTTTGCCTTATTTCCTTAGTAAGCTGCCTTTAATCAAGTAGTTAGCATAGAAATAAAAATAAAGTGTGTCTAGAAATAGTGGGTTCTTAGTCTCACTAACTTCAAGAAGGAAGCTGTGGACCCTCGCAATGAGTGTTACAGTTCTAAAAGTGGCGTGTCTGGAGTTTGTTTTATTTGGATGTGTTCAGTTTTCCTTCCGGTGAGCTTGTCATCTCGTTGGCCCAGAAATAAAGGTGCAGACTTTCACAGTGAGTAACACACCTCTTAAAATAGTGCCTCTGGAGTTGTTCGCTTTTCTCAGCGGGTTCGTGATCTACACTGCTCTCAGAGAAATTGCAAATCTTCACCAAAGAGCATTACAGCTTATAAACACAGCATAAACCCAGAGAACAGCAACCAAATTTGTTGCAAACAAGAAAACAACTAAAGCCTCCACATTATCGAATACAATCCAACCAGATTGCCGCTGTTAGTTCGGGCAGCCTGCTTTTATTCTATCTGGCCCCACCCACATCCTGCTGATTGGTCCATTTTTCAGAGAGCCAAGTGGTCTGTTTTGACAGGGTGCTGATTGGTGCGTTTACAATCCCTGAGCTAGACATAAAGGTTCTGAGAGGTGACAGCGTGCCGGCAGTCGTCATAGCCCTCACTCGCTCTGGGCGCCTCCTCTGGCTGGGCTCCCACTTTGGTTGCACCTGAGGAGCTCTTCAGCCCACCGCGGCACTGTGGGAGCCCTTTTCTGAGCTGGCCAAGGCTGGAGCTGGCTCCCTTAAGTTTGCAGGGAGGTGTGGAGAGAGAGGTGCGAGCGAGAACCCGGGCTGCGCGCGGCACTTGTGGGCCAGCTGCAGTTCCGGGTGGGCGTGGGCTTGGCTGGCCCGGCTAGCCCCAGGCAATGAGGGACTTAGCACATGATGCAGGACTGGCAGGCAGCTCCATTTACAGCCCCGGTGTGCAGGCACACGGTGCGGGACTGGCAGGCAGCTCCACCAGCAACCCCGGTGTGCGATCCACTGGGTGAAGCTAGCTGGGCTCCTGAGTCTGGTAGGGACATGGAGAACCTTTTTATGTCTAGCTCAGGGATTGTAAATACACCAGTCGGCACTCTATCTAGCTCAAGGTTTGTAAACACACCAATCAGCGCCCTGTGTCTAGCTCAGGGTTTGTGAATGCACCAATCGACACTCTAGCTACTCTGGTGGGGCCTTGGAGAACGTTTGGACACTATAGCTAATCTAGTGGGGACGTGGAGAACCTTTGTGTCTAGCTCAGGGATTGTAAACGCACCAATCAGTGCCCTATCAAAACAGACCACTGGGCTCTACCAATCAGCAGGATGTGGGTGGGGCCAGATAAGAGAATAAAAGCAGGCTGCGCAAGGTGGCTGTGAAAGTTTTTCTTTGGTTTCTTAGGTTCAACTTTGTTTTATATGGATCTGTAATATTCACTAGTAAAGGTCTGCGACTTCACTCTTGAAGCCGGTAAGACCAGAAGCCCACAGGAGGAAGGAACACCTCCAGTACGTGCTGTCTTAAGATCTGTAACACCGCGAAGGTCTCCAGATTCAGTTCTGAGCTTGCGAGATCAGAAACCCACTGAAAGAAACTCTGGACGGGATATTGTAACAGCTGAAACACACAGGGCGAGTGTCTGCGGCTTCATTCTTATAAGCCATAGAGGCCACCAGTTTCGGACACAGTTCTGCACGTCCCCACTAGAATAGCTAGATACAGTGTGGATTGTTGCATTCACAAGTCCTTAGCTAGACACAGGGTGCTGATTGGTGTGTTTACAAATCTTGGGCTAGATAACGGAATGCTAATTGGTGTAGTTACAATCCCCTAGCTAGACGTAAAGGTTCGCTAATTCCCCACCAGGGTCAGAGGCCCAGTTGACTTCGCCCAGTGGGTCCTGCACTGGGGCTGCAGGTGGAAGCTGTCTGCTAGTCACTCACTGTGTCCCCGCACTCCTCAGTCATTTGGGTGGTCAATGGGACTCAGCACCGTGGGGCAGGGGGCTGTGCTTGTCGGGGGAGGCTCGGGCCACACCTAAGCCCACATAGTGGGGTGGGGAGGCTAGGCATGGTGGGCTGCAGGTCCTGAGCCCTGCCCCGCGGGGAGGCAGCTAAGGCCTGGCGAGAAATCGATTGAGCGCAGCGCCAGTGGGCCGGCGCTGCTGGGGGACCCAGCACACCTTCCGCAGCCGCTGGCCCGGGTGCTAAGCCCCTCTGCCCGGGGCCGCCAGGGCCGACAGGCCGTTCCGAGTGAGGGGCCTGCCGAGCCCACACCGAACCGGAACTCGCGCTGGCCGGCAAGCACCCCGCGCAGCCCCGGTTTCCGCCCGCGCCTTTCCCGCCACACTTTCCCGCAAGCTGAGGAAGCCGACTCCGGCCTTGGCCAGCCCAGGAAGGGGGTCCCTTAGTGCAGCGGGGGGCTGAAGGGCTCAAGTGCCGCCAAAGTGGGAGCCCAGCCAGAGAAGGCGCCGAGAGCGCGTGAGGGCTGCCAGCAAGCTGTCACCTCTCAAATGGATACTAGAGTCTGGGAAGGGTAGGAGTTTTTCCTTGCCTGCTGCCCAGATGGAGCAGATTTATCAAGACGGGAACTGCCAGAGAAAAAGTTTAATTCACGCAGAGCTGGCTGACTGGGAGACGAGTTTTATTACTGAAATCAGTCTCCCTGAAATTTCAGAGTCTAGGGTTTTCCAAGAATAGTTTGGCAGGCAGGGGAATGGGTGCTGGTGATTGGGTGGGGATGCAGTCACAGAGGTGTGGAAAACGGTCCTTGTGCGCTGAGCCCGCTTTTAGGTGGGGGCCACAGGACAGCTGAGTCGAGTTGGAGGCCCCCCTGGGAGGAGTCATTAGGTCCTCAGAAGTGTGAAAGCCTGAAAAGACAATCTGAAAAGTGTAGCTGCTGTAGAAAACGGGATGGAGGTTCCTCAGAAAATTAAAAGCAGAATTACCATATGATCCAGCAATTCCACTTCTGCGTATATACTCAAAAGAATTAAAAACAAGGTATCTGGAGGTCGGGCGCAGTGTCTCACGCCTGTAGTCCCAACACTTTGGGAAGCTGAGGCAGGTGGATCACCTGAGGTCAGGAGTTCGAGACCAGCCTGGCCAACGTGGTGAAACCCCGTCTCTACTAAAAATACAAAAATTAGCCAGACGCGGTGTTGCGCGCCTGTAATCCCAGCTACTTGGGAGGCTGAGGCAGGAGAATCACTTGAACCCGGGAGGTGGAGGTTGCAGTGGGCCGAGGTTGCACCACTGTACTCCAGCTTAGGCAGCAGAGTGAGACTCCGTCTCAAAAAAAAAAAAAAAAAAAAAAAAAAAAAGTAGGTAGACAAGAAACAGCCCTGAGTAGTGCTAAACTCAAGTTTCCCATTCTTCGGGAGAACTGAATTCCATTTCAGTTTATACCAGAGGTCACACGCTTCCATGCTTATCAGGGGCAGGCAGGAAACATGCATGAGTCAGCTGACTTATACCAGTTGGTTTTGGTATAAGTCATCCTTTCCTGGCCACTTCTGTTAAGCTTGGAGGAAAATAGACAATAGGGTTGAGGGTATTTCAGAGTCACTGTCAGTGTTTTCTGGACAATTTATGACTTTGAAGACAGTCGTGGCCAGTAGACAAGAAAAGCATTTTTGGCATAGATTTTTACTCACAGGTCTGTGTTTTTCAACTCTTTATTGCTCCTCCAGGGAACATTTAGTAATGTCTAGAGACATTTGCGGTTGTCACGACTGGACGGGATGGGGGGCGATAGTGGCTTCTGGTTGATAGAAGCCACGGATGCTGCTGAACAGTTCACAGTGCACAGCACCGCCCCACAACAAAGAATTACATAACCCAATCGTCAGTGGTGCCAAGGCTGAGGAACCCTGCCTTAGGTAGATGAGACTGTCATCTTCAAATTTTTGGTTCAAGTATTCCTTCAAAATTTTATAAAACTATTTATTCTTCTACATACTTTTAATCGACATCAAAAATTTTTAATCATAAGTTTGTCAATTTTAAAAGATGTAATTTCAGCCGGGCACAGTGGCTCACGCCTGTACTCCCAGCACTTTGGGAGGCCAAGTTGGGTGGATCACCAGGCCACGAGATCAAGACCATCCTGGCCAACATGGTGAAACCCTGTCTCTACTTAAAAAAAAAAAAAAAATTAGCTGGGCGTTGTGGCGGGCGCCTATAGTCCCAGCTACTTGGGAGGCTGAGGCAGGAGAATTGCTTAAACGCGGGAGGTGGAAGTTGCAGTGAGCCAAGATCATGCCACTGCACTCCAGCCTAGCGACAGAGCAAGACTCCATCTCAAAACAAAACAAAACAAAACAAAACAAACCCGTGTGATTTCTAGCTGATTTCAAGCCAAATTGTTTTGAAAACTAATACCATGACTCCTTGGGGTCCACCCCCATTTGCTTAAAAAACACGTGAAAAAATTCTACTTTTAGAGTTGAAATGTTGTATTGTTCATTTTTGTCCTTGACCTTCTATTTTCACATCCTGAAACCAGCTTTGCAAAAATTATAACAGACAATTATGACAGTGAAAGAGATCTGACCTAACCGACTCCATGTTGCTTCTAACCTCCAAGCTGTCCTTGTTCATTCCTGGGCAGAGGATCAACTAACTTTGGGAGGAGCTCAGTTTATAGTTTAACTTTGAAACAAAGATGATAACAGGCTGGGCACGGTGGCTCAGGCTTGTAATCTCAGCAGTGTGTGAAGCCGAGGTGGATGGAGCACTTGAGGTCATGAGTTCAAGACTAGCCTGGCCAATATGGTGAAACACTGTCTTTACTAAAAATACAAAAATTAGCCAGGCGTGGTGGCGGGTGACTGTAATCCCAGCTACTCAGGAGACTAAGGGAGGAGAATCACTGGAACCTGGGAGGTGGAGGTTGCAGTAAGCTGAGATCCTGCCACTGCACTCCAGCCTGGGTGACAGAGTGACTCTGTCTCAAAAAAACAAAAATAAAAACAAAAACAAAAAACAAAGATAATGACAGCCATTTCCAGAAACAAACCGCCTTCCCACCCAGATCAATAAACTGCCTTATAATAATAAAACTCCAGTAATATTAAAACTCCAATCTCCCATTCAGCTGCTCTGCATGAATTGGACTCTTTATTGCAATTCCTCTGCCTTGATAGATCAGCTGTATCTGGGCAGCAGGCAAAATGAACCCATCGGGTGGTTACAATCCCCCTCAGGAATTTATCCTGGGGTGGTTCATTTCCAGCTTTATGAAATAAATTGCACTGGGATAAGAGGCTTTTCCTGATCATCCTATCACACTTCTCTGCCATAAAAATCCTATAAATTGGCCAGGCGCCATGGCTCATGCCTTCAATCCCAGCACTTTGGGAGACTGAGGCAGTTGGATCACCTGAGGTCAGGAGTTTGAGAACAGCCTGACCAATATGGTAAAACCCCGTCTCTACTAAAAATACACAAATTAGCTGGGCATGGTGGTGGGAGCCTGTAATCCCAGCTACTTGGGAGGCTGAGGCAGGAGAATTGCCTGAACCCAGGAGGTGGAGGTTGCAGGGAGCCAAGATTGCGCCACTGCACTCCAGCCTGGGCAACAGAGAGAGACTCCATCTCAAAAAAAAAAAAAAAAAAAAAGAATCCTATAAATTGAAATTAATGTTTCATTATTTCCTGTGACTATAATGATTTAATTGTTAAAAACTTTTTTTGGGGGTTGCTAATAGTTACAACTTTTATTAGAGACAACTGATCAAAACGACTTAAGTAAATTACGGATATACATAATTATTAAACATCAGAAGTAAAATTTCTTTAAGAGGCACCTTTTATTGGGTGCATCTTGGGCTGGATTATACTCGGGTGCTTGATGCAGAACAAGCGCATTTCTTGCTCACACTATTGGTCCACCCAACAAGATGCTTTGCTCATCAGGGTTACTCTGGGACCCGGGCTTCTGCAGGCTTCCTCTCAATGTCTGCACCCATGATCACTGAGGCAGGAGAAATGGAATGTGGCTGCCTGGAAATGATACATGTCACCTCCATGTATACCTCATTAGCCCATGCCAGTCCCAGGGCCAAATCTAACTTCAAACACAGTTGGGGAAGTGCAAACCTTCCATATGGTCAAAAGGGAAGAACTGGAATTCAGGTGACGCCCTGCATAGATAAATGGGGCTTCCCTCCCACTTCCCTTCTAATTCATGTATTCATGAATGAATGTTTATACTTTTTGAGGCAGGGCCTCACTCTGCTGTTCTGGATGGAGTGCAGTGACACAATCACAGTGCACTGCAGCCTTAACTGAGCCCCCGGCTCAAGTCATCCTCCCACCTCAGCCCCTTGAGTAGCTGGGACTACAGGCGCTCGCCACCATGCCTGGGTAATTTTTGTATATTTTTCGTAGAGATGGTGTTTCGCCATGTTGCCCAGGCTTGTTTCAAACTCCTGGGCTCAAGTGATCTGCCTGCCTCAGCCTCCCAAAGTTCTGGGATTACAGGTGTGAGCCACTGCACCCCGCCTGAATGAGTATTATTTATTGCTAGGATGAGAGAGTTCAGAAGTGATTTTATTCCTATTATTGTGTTTGTCTTTATAGATAGAAGTTATGAGAAACTTCGGTCACAAAGAGAAATGTCACTCAAGGGCCAGGCATGATGGCTCATGAGTAATCCCAGAACTTTGGAAGACCAAGTGCTGGAAGATCGCTGGAGCCCAGGAGTTTGCTTGGGCAACATAACAAGAACCCATATCTACAAAAAATTTTAAAAATTAGCCAGGTGTGGTTGTGTGTAATTGTAGCCCCAGCTACCCAGGAGGCTGAGGCTGAAGGATCTATCCCTTGAATCCAAAAGTCCAAGGCTGCAGTGAACTATGATTGTGCCACTACGCTCTAGCCTGGTCAACAAAGTGAGACCGTGTCTCTAAACAAACAAACAAACCCCAGAGAAATATTCCTTAATTCTTTGAACTCTTTCTGAATTATATGTTAAAAGTCTAATGGCGATCTGTCTATAACAAGCATTAACTTACAACGATCTACCAGCTAACACCTTGGTCATGTCCTTCTTTTTCATTGAAAGCAAAAATTTAGAAATCCAAGTTGCTAAATGATTTGTACCCAATGGTAAAATGCATCTCTTTTCCCGATACTCACATGAATATTTCAAAGAGCATCCAGAGATTCTATATGCCAGAGCAATGCAACACCATGAAGATAGGTTGGGCACGAGGGATACCTTTCTTTTGGGAAGCTGAGAACCTTATCTGTGCACTGATAAGAGGGCATGGATGAAAAAAAAATTGACTTTCCATCACTGGTATTCTCAGGTCAGTTTCAAAAAAGAGAGTGGATGCAAGTTGAACATATTGATGGAAATGGATTCCCTTTTATTATTTATTTATTTATTGAGATGGAGTCTTGCTGTCACCCAGGCTGGAATGCAGTGGCGTGATCTCAGCTCACTGCCAACCTCTGCCGCTGGGTTCAAGCAAATCTCGTGCCTCAGCCTCCAGAGTATCTGGGATTACAGGCGCACAACACCATGCCTGGCTATTTTTTTTGTATTTTTAGTAGAGACAGAGGTTTCTCCATGTTGTCCAGGCTGGCCTCAAACTCCTGACCTCAGGTGATCTGCCTGCCTTGGCCTCCCAAAGTGCTGGGATTACAGGCGTGAGCCACTGCGCCCAGCCACCCAGGGGTGCATACACCCCATTGTGAAGCCTGCAGTATTAAAATTTAATACCTGAGCCCATGAGAGGACAGATTTCAGAAATTTCTCTCTCATAGTTCTGGAGAGTAGGAAGTCTGAGATCATGGGTCCAGCTGATTTGATTTTTGGAGAGGGTTCTCTTCCTGGATTCCAGACAGATGCCTTCTTGCTGTGTCCCCACAGAGTAGGGAGAAAGAGAGGAAGAGAGAGTCAGAGAAACAGAGAGAGAGATAAAGAGATAGATAGAGAGAGGGAGATAGAGAGAGGAGACAGAGAAAGAGAGCTCATGCTAGCTCTCTGGTGTCTCTTAAAAGGGCTAGGCTGGGCATGGTGGCTCACACATGTGATCCCAGCACTTTGAGAGGCCAAGGAGGGCCGATCACTTGAGGTTAGGAGTTCGAGACCAGCCTGGCCAACATGGTGAAACCCCATCTCTACTAAAAATACAAAAATTAGCTGGGCGTGGTGGCACGTGTCTGTAATCCTAGCTATTCGCAAGGCTGAGGCAGGAGAATCACTTGAACCTGTGAGGCGGAGGTTGCAGTGAGCTGAGATCAGGCCACTGCACTCCACTCCAGCCTGGGCAACAGAGCAAGACTCCATCTCAAAAAAAAAAAAAAAAAACAAGAAGATTAAACAAGATAATGGATGTATATCAGGGGTCCCCAATCCCTGGGCTGTGGACTGGTACCTGTCCATGGCCTGTCAGGAACTGGGCCACATAGCAGGAAGTAAGTGGACGAAGGAGCATTACCACCTGAACTCAGCCTTCTGTCAGGTCAGTGGCAGCATTAGATTCTCAGGAGCACAAACCCTATTGTGAACTAGGTTTTGTGCTCCTTATGAGAATCTAATGCCTGATGATCTGTCACTGTCTCCCATCACCCCTAAATGGGACCCTCTAATTGCAGGAAAACAAGCTCAGGGATCCCACTGATTCTACATTATGATCAGTTGTATAGTTATTTCATTATATATTACAATATAATAATAACAGAAATAAAGTGCACAATAAATGTAATGCTCTTGAATCATCCCCAAACCATCCCCCATTCCTGTCAGTGGAAAAGTCGTCTTCCGTGAAACTGGTCCCTGGTGCCAGAAAGGTTGGGGACTGCTAATGTCATAGTCTTTATGACTATGCCCAGCACATAGCATTTAATAAATGGAAGCTGTAATATAATAATATATCATTATTATTTTATATGAAAATAAACTCAGATGTATGAACGAGTATTGTGAAAATGCGCATATGTGTTAAAGATAAAACACGGACTTCATTCAGATTCCACGGTCCCCATCTTGGGCTTCTTCCACCGAGACCCCTGGAAGAAGCAGCGTTTGCCATCCTTGGGGAAGCTCTAGTATAAGCCTTTTCCTTATGTTAAAATGCCAAAACCTCTGTGAAAAGTAAGGATATTTATTTAGTGTGTCTCTGATCTTTACCTGAGCTGAAATTTTGTCGGACACAGAAGAGAGAAAGCAAGCATGAAGGTTCTGTGAGCTGGGGCAGGGACTGGGGAACCCACGGGTAGAGAAGGCAATTTGCAGCATGAAATAGAGAAACTCCAAGACTTACACCCCACTTTTCCCATTTCTCGGTGTGACCCAGGGTCTTGTCTCTACCTCTGTGTTTTCTCACCTCTTTTGTTGCATTAGTCAAATGCTGTGTCCTTTAAATCCACGGCATGTCTCCCTCCCTTGTTGCCCTGGAAATGGCTTCTGTTATCCAGCCAGAGAGTTTTATTGATTTCTCTGCCTTCTTTCAACCCCACCTTAAAAACAAGCACAATGCCATAAAATGAAATTCTTGTGTTTTAAGAAGTCTTCCTTGAGAAACTTGAACACTTACAAATAAGCTTATTTACTCGCTTTCCCTTTAGTAATAAAACAACTCTTTCTTTGTTGCACATTGCTTCCTCTATCTATAATCAAATTTAAGACTGCTTTTACTTTTTTTGTAGCATCTAGTACTATATTTGATTGAATGTATTTGTTTAATACATTTATGTTAATGTTAAAACACATTCTGGCATCTGTCCTGCCTCTGGTGGATAGTTTAATACAGAGATTTTTTTTTTTTTTTTTTTTTGAGACAAGGTCTTGCTCTGTGGTCCAGGCTGGAGTGCAGTAGTGCAATCACAGCTCGCTGCAGCCTTGGACTCCTGGGCTTAAGGGATCCTCCCAAGTTAGCCTCTTGAGTACCTGGAACTACAGGTGCATGCCACCATGCCCAGGTAATTTGTTAATTTTTGGGGGGTTGGAGGGAAAGGATCTCACTCCATTGCCCAGGCTGGAGTGCAGTGCACAATTACAGCTCACTGCAACCTCAAACTTCCAGACTGAAACGATCCTCCTGCCTCAGCCTCCCTAGTAGCTGGGACTACAGGCATACTGCCTGGCAATTTTTTGTACTTTTTGTAGAGACAAGGTTTTGCCATGTAGCAGCCCAGGCTGGTCTTGAACTCCTGGGCTCAAGCAATCCTCCCACTTCAGCACCTCCCAAAGTGCTGGGATTACAGGCATGAGCCAGCACGGGTGGCCTGAGAGATGTAATGCAAAACCCTGACTACACACAGTGCTGCCATATCAAAGAAGGAATTCCATGTTTTAGGTGGCGAGTTACTCATTTAAAGTAATGTTTCACATAATAGAATTCTGGTACAGTGAAGCCTAACATTAGACCCAACATACAATAACCTGAGCTTTGAAATGTCTTAGAATAACTATATTTCACATTTGGAAGAATTCTCAGAGATCACTGAAGCCTTCAGTTCTTAGGGATAATTAATTTAATCAAGAGAGGAAACAATTTCAACAACCAAAAGCTACTTCCTATCTTAAAAAGGAAATAGCAAATTATGCTAACACCTGATTGATTGATAAAAACAGATGTGCACATATCTCTATTCCTAATATTAGTATTATTAAGTCCACCTGCACACTAAAGTTCCAGGATCTGTGTGTACCAGTGGCAGTGCCCTGCCCTCCCTGTCGTGGAGATGCTCCCAACTTGTTCTCTTTAGTGCTTCTGTAATCAGTGGAAAGGAGCTAAAATAAATGCTTCTTCATGTCCCCACTCCTCCAGGAGGCGTGCACATCCTCCCCTCTATTCAGGAGAGATACTTGTCCCCAGGGCTGGGCTGGAGCGGTGAGCTGGTGTGTGGACACACATGGAAGCTTGTCCTTTTGAGGATCTTCCTTCCCACTTCTCTCTGAGACCTCCTACCTCTACCTATCCAGGCCCTTTTTCTCATTTGAGTAATTCACCTCTCTAACTCCTCTTTCTCCTTTCCCCAGCCCTGGTATTTCCTAGATTCATGGACAGCAAAAGCATGTTCCATGGGCTGATTCTCATCTTTCTCACCCTTAGTTCGACTAGTTCTTTGACTATTTTTTTTTTTAAACAGTCTCGCTCTGTTGCCCAGGCTGGAGTGCATCCAGTGGCACGATCTCAGCTCACTGCAACCTCCGCCTCCTGGGTTCAAGCGATTCTCGTGCCTCAGCCTCCCAACAGGGGTGCGTCACCACGTCCAGCTATTTTTGTGTGTGTTTTTAGTAGAGATGGGGTTTGACATATTGGCCAGGCTAATCTTGAACTCCTGGCCCAAGCAACCCACCAGCCTCAGCCTCTCAAAGTGCTGGGATTGAGCCACTGCGCCCGTCCTGAATCTTGGTTTTTATTTAGTAGTGGGCTAAGGGAGGGTACCCTGGGGTTAATGAAGGAAATACACACAAATCCCCAAAAGATATTATTTCAAAATATAACTCTCCTAAAAGAGTTTTTATAAGTTAGATAATTTTATTATTTATTTATTTATTTATGTGAGATGAAGTCTCGCTCTGTTGCCAGGCTGGAGTGCAGTGGTGCAATCTTGGCTCACTGCAACCTCCGCCTCCCGGGTTCAAGCGATTCTCCTGCCTCAGCCTCCCGAGTAGCTGGGACTACAGGTGCACGCCACCACACCTGGCTAATTTTTGTATTTTTAGTAGAGATGGGGTTTCACTAAGTTGGCCAGGCTGGTCTCAAAGTCCTGACCTCAGGTGATCCACCCACGTTGGCCTCCCAAAGTGCTGGGATTAGAGGCATGAGCCACCGCGCCTGGCCAAATTAGATCATTTTAGAGCTGAAAAAGCTTAGAAATTATTAGTCCAATTCTTTCATTTGTTAACGGGAAAACGGAGGTCAGAGATGTTGAAGGACTTGCCCGAAGTCACCTAGTTAGTGGCAGAGGCTGTGTCACGGAGTCCATATCTCCAAGCTTTCAGGCCAGCATTATTTCCTGAGCATTGCACTGTCTCTTATGTCAGGACTCAATTATTACATTAAAAGTTCCCAATCAACTGTAATTTATACGGGCTTTTAGAATACTTATAAAAACTGTATAGTCTTAGTACGTATGTCAAAAGAACTTGAATATTCTAAATTAAGCCCCACATTTTTCAAGGAATTCGGAAGGGAATATTTCTTGCTCATTCCAGATAGTTGGTTACTTGCCACCAAATTGAAGAAGTGGCTTAGCAGAGATGGTTGCTCTCAGTGAAAGTGGATCCGTACTCATTATTTCTTCCTGGCCTTAGATGTCAGCAGCCTATTTTAATTCACTTAAACCTTCATGTGTCACATCCTGTCTGGACCTCAGGGTTTCTGGAAGAAACAGAAAATAGGATTCAAATAGCCAGGCTTCCGGTCTGGAATAAGGATGCTGTGGTGTAGTGTGCTGTGTTTACCACTAGAGGGCACCTTTTCCCTTGCTTTGGAATCGAGTTTTTCAGAAACTGGAGTTTGCAATCCTCTGTATCTGTCCCTGTGTCCACACGTTAGTAAATTTTTGGTGGCTCAAATGAAATGCTCTTCCCGTACAACAATGGCACTCTGCAATCCTTAACAGATGTGATTGCTGATGGGGATAGTTACAATTCATTCTAGTCAATTAAGAGGAAATTGATGAGGGTGATACTGCCCAGGGGTGAGCAGAAAGAAGTCTAAATGTTTGGATTGGAAAAGGACTAAGAAGAGCTAATACCCTATGCTTTGGTTGTCTGCTTTAGAAGGAAAGCGTTCAGAATAATAATATGATTTAACAAGACAAATAGGGCAGACATATAGGATAAGCCTCATCCTACACAGGTGTGTAGCTAGCAGCCACCTGGTACATTCAAATTCTACTGAGGAAGAAAGGCAGACAAATACTGGGTTTAAAATATCTATCTGGCCAGATTCAGTAACTCAGACCTGTAATTCCAACACTTTGGGACACCAAGGTGGGTGGACCACTTGAGCCCAGGAGTTCAAGACCAGCCTCGATAACATGGCGAGACTTCATCTCTACAAAAAGTACAAAAATTAGCCAGGTGTAGTGGCACACACTTGTAGTTTCCACTCTTTGGGAGGCCAAAGCAGGAGGATTGCTGGAGGGTGGGAGGTGGAGGCTGCAGTGAGATGTGTCACATCACTGCACTCCTGAGGCACTGGGCGGGGCTCAGCAGCTTGTTACAATGTTTATTTTAATTAGATTCTAGCAATTGCAGCCTGTGCAGTGTAGATGTCCTAGGGCTGCCATTGTCTGCCATTCAGGGAACTTGGAATTAGAGCTCTTTGCAGAGATCTTGTGGGCATTAGGGAGAGGAGAAGAGGGGATGGAGTTATGTTTGAAAGTATGAGGAGCCAGTGGAAAAGCTAGGTTCTTGACTATGCCTGATTGGCCAATGACATGGCCACAGTTTGGTAACTGGCTGTGCAGATCCAGATTCTGGGTAGCAACAGCCCTGTACATCTGGCAACACTATGGCGTGTCTCTGTGGCAGCTTATTTTGAGCGTCACGGCTATTACCCAGAGTCAGGAGTAATGTCTTTCATTCTGAGACATCTAAACCCCCAACCACAGGCATGTTTTCTTCCAGGGCAGAGGGCAAATGCAATTACATCTGTGACCAATTTGCACAGCTGGGAGCTCAGCCTCCTGACAGAAACATTTATTTGAGATTCAAGTCTCTAGGGAGCTGGGTCACCAGACAGGAAGTAAGGTCCAGCAAGCATGTGTTGTCTACTATGTGAATGCTTGTTAGGCTGGGCCAGGAGAACAAAACAAAACAACACAAAATGTCAACTTAAGCTTTTAGAAGCAAAAAATCAGCCTTTTCTGTCTACAAACCAGGTTTCTCAGGGCATAGAGGAAAATAAGAATATCCAAATAAGACGGTTGCCATTGACCCCAGTACAAACATAGCATGCACATGGGACATGGAACTCGTGGAAGGGGCAGCTGCCTGGGAGTCAAAGTCCTGGTTTCCAGTTGTGGTTCTACCACTGTGAACTGTGGCATCCTGGGCAAGTCACTTTGCTCAGGCTTTTTATTTTGCAGGATTTTTGTGTCATTCTTGCTCAGAGGCCATGGTAGTCTTCTCCGTATCATTCCAATTTTTAGTATATGTGCTGCTGAAACGAGCACTTTTTTCTTTCTTGCTTGCTTGCTTTTTTTTTTTTTTTTTTTTTTTTTTTTTTGAGACTGGGTCTCACTCTGTCACCCAGGCTGGAGTGCAGTGGTGCGATCACAGCTCACTGCAGCTTTGACCTCCCAGGCTCATGCAATCCTTCCATCAGCCTCCCCAGTAGCTGGAACTACAGGCCTTTTCTGGAGCTGGAAGATAAAGAAAACCAACATGAAAGCATTGAATAGACAAATCCAGAGACCAGCCTAATGATTCTATTTAGTATTTACCCACAGGACAATGTCTCTGGATTGTATTTATTTATATTGTCTCCCAATGGCTTTATTGAGACATAATTCACAGATCATACAATTCACCAATTTAGAATGTACAAGTCAGTGGCTTTTCATATATTCATAGAGTTGTGCAGCCATCATCACACCAATTTTAAAACATTTTTATAACCCAAAAAAGAAACCTGCCACACTCCTTATTTATCAGCCATCACTCCTCAGGGCCTTCCCTGATTCCTTCCAGCCTTAGGCAACCAATGATCTACTCTCTGTTTCTACAGATTTGCCTATTCTGGACATTTCTTATAAATGGAATAATACAATATGTTGTCTTTAGTGACTGGCTTCCTTCACTTAGTGACTGATTTCCTTCACTTAGCATAATCTTTTCAAAGTTCATCCATACCGTAGCATGTATCAGTACTTCGTTTCTTTTTACTTCCAAAAAGTATACAATTATATGGAAATACCATACTGTGTTTATTCATTTGTCCATTGATGGACATTTGGGCCGTTTCTACCTTTTAGCTCTTATGAACAATATTCTGTGAACACTGGTGGACAAGTTTATGTGTGAACATATGTTTTCATTTCTTTTGGGTATATACCTAAGAATAGAGTTGCTGGCTCATACAGTAACTTTGTGTTTAACCTTTCATGTAACTGCCAGACTGCTTTCGAAGGCAGCTGCACCACTTTATTTTATTTTAAAAAATATGTTTATTTTAGATTCAGGGAGTACATGTACAGGTTTGTTACATGTATATATTGCATGATGCTGATTTGGGTTTCTGCTGAACCCATCACCTAAATACTGAACATAGTACCTAACAGGTAGTTTTTCAACCCTTGCCTCCCATCCTCATTCACCACTTTGGAGTTCCCAGTGCCTATTGTTCCCATCTTTATGTCCATGTGTACCCAATGTTTAGCTCTGACTTATAAGTGAGAACATGTAGTATTTGGTTTTTTGTTTCTGTGTTTAATTCACTTAGAATAATAGCCTCCAGCTGCATCCATGTTGCTGCAAAGGACATGATCTCATTCTTTTTTATGGTTATATAGTATTCCATGGAGGTGCACAATTAATTATATATTCCAATGAGCAGTGTATGAGAGTTCTAATTTTGCCACTTCCTTGTCAATACTTGTTATTTCTGTTTCATAAAAATTTTAGCCATCTTAATGGGTGTGAGATGACATTTAATTATGGTTTTGATTTGCATTCCCTGATGGCTAATGATGTTGAGCATCTTTTCATGCACTTATTGGCCATGCATTTATCTTCCTTAGAGAAATGTCTATTTAGATTTTTGCCCATTTTTTAGTTATTTGGTGTTTTGGTGTTGAGCTGTGATACGTGTAATATTATCTGCACATTTTTTCTCTTATTCATTGTAGGCTTGTCTCTTCATTTTCTTGATGGTGTCTTTGGAAGGACAAAAGTTTTTTAGCTGAATTGTGTGCAATTAATCTATTTTTTTCTTTAATTGCTCATGCTTTTGGTGTCATATCCAAGAAACCATTGTCAAGTCCAAGGTCACGAAAATTTACACCCCTGTTTTCTTCTAAGAGTTTTATTGGATTAACTCTTACGTTTTGGTCTTTTCTCTATTCTGAATTTGTACACATTGTGAGACAGGTCCAGCTTCATTTTTTTTTTTTGACATGTGTATATCCAGTTGTCCCAGGATCATTTGTTGAAAAGACTATTCTTTCTCCACTGAATGGTCTTGACACCCTTGTTGAAAGTCAATTAACTGTAAATGTGAAAGTTTATTTCTGGACTCTCAATTCTACTACACTGATCTATATACATCTACCCTATGCCAGGACCACACTATTTTGATTACTATGGCTTTGTACACATGTTGAAGTTGGGAAGTGTGACTCCTCCAATTTTGTTCTTTGTTGAAGATTATTTTGTTTTTTCTGGGTTTCTTGAATTTTGATATAAATTTTACAATTAACTTGTCAATTTCTGCAAAGAAATCAGCTGGGATTTTGATAAGAATTGCATTGAATCTATTGAATAACTTGAGGGTGTATTGCCATTTTAACAACAATAAGTCTTTTTTTTTTTTTGATTCAGAGTCTTGCTGTGTCATCCAGGCTGGAGTGCAGTGGCACAATCTTGGCTCACAGCAACCTCGGCCTCCTGGGTTCAAGCGATTCTCCTGCCTCAGCCTCCTGAGTAGCTGGGATTACAGGCACCCGCCACCACACCCAGCTAATTTTTTGTATTTTTAGTAGAGACGGCGTTTCACCATATTGGCCAGCGTGGTCTCGAACTCCTGACCTCAGGTGATCCACCCGCCTCAGCCTCACAAAGTCCTGGGATTACAGGCATGAGCACTAAGCCTGTGTATTGATCTTTTATCCTAAAACCTTGCTTAAAAATTTATTCATTTGAGCAGTTTTTAAATGAATTCCTTAGGTTTTATTTTTTCTTGTTAATTTTTTCTTTTTAAAATGAGATGAGGTCTTCTTATGTTGCCCAGGCTGGTCTTGAACTCCTGAGCTCAAGCGATCCATCCACCTTGGTGCTGGGATTATAGGAGTGACACACCTCGCCCGGCCCCCTTAGGGTTTTTTAATATCCAAGATTATGTCATCTGAAAGTAGAGATAGTTTAACTTCTTCCTTTCCAATATAGATTCCTTTTTATTTCATTCTTGCCTAATTGCCCTGGGGAAGGCCTAGATTTGTATCTCAGCTGTCTATGGAACTGAATATCTGTTATCAGCCCTCACTGAAGTTTGAATTAGGTGCTTCAGCTCCTTTAACCAGGCAGTTAATGTTTAACATTCAGCCCCCAATGTACATGGAGGGAAATGTACTACCCAGTGTGTATTTCCATAGAGCAATACAGCTCTTAGGCACTGGGGATGAATCAGGAGTGTGCTTGGGTAGGTCACAGCACTGTTTCCAGATGGAGCGTTAGGATGGCAGGAAAGGATGAGAAGCAGCAGAGCTTTAGACAAGGAATCTTTTCTGCCAGTTAATGCCTTTCAGGGCCTCTGCCACAGATAAGGATGAAAGAGGTCAACAAGGAATATGGAGAATCACATACAGACAGAACTGCAGCTGTGACCTGGACAAACCACCCAGCTCCCTCCACCCTCCACACTGCCCACTGCAGAGTGAGATGGAAAAGAAGAGAAAGTCGGGACCGAGTGCCGTGGCTCATGCCTGTAATCCCAGCACTTTGGGAGGCCGAGGCAGGTGGATCACGAGGTCAGGAGTTCGAGACCAGCCTGACTAATATGGTGAAACCCCGTTTCTACTACAAATACAAAAAGTTAGCTGGGCATGGTGGCGCGTGCCTGTAATCCCAGCTACTTGGGAGGCTGAGGCAGGATAATTGCTTGAACCCGGAGGTGGGGGTTGCAGTGAGGCGAGATGGCGCCACTGCACTCCAGCCTGGGCTACAGAGCAAGACTCTGTCTCACAAAAAAAAAAAAAAAAAAAAAAAAGAGAAGAGAAAGTCGGCCAGTTTTTCAGTCTACCAATGAAGTAAGCTGTTTTCTTTTCAGACTTGGAGTGAGCAAATTCTGTAAGCACCCTAATTAATGAGGAAAGCTCCAAGTCAGGCATGTTTTCTTGAAAGCACTCTGTGCCTGTAGCCCTTCTCTGACCAGCCTGGATAGGCAAGACATCCAACGTGATTTCTGAGTTTGTACATATTTGTAGTGGCTATTTGCTGTGAGGTGGAAACAGATCCTGCTCCCGCTTTGGGAGCAATGTCAAGACACCCATGACTTCAGAAACAAGATGAAACAAATATCTTGGTTCATGGGCAAACTGCGCAGAGCAGGCTTTGTGTGGGAGCCCCCAAAGGTGGAAGAGCTATTCAAAGGTTGCCAGAGCCTGAGAATAAACTGGCCCTGACGAGACTTATGGACACGATCCAGTTCCGAGCAAAATCCGTGCCCAACCTCCCTGAAGTGCACCATTGAGAAAACGGCTTGAGAATAGATTGAATGACATGAGGAGCAACATCGGCGGAATGGCTTTAATGAGCCAAAAAATGTGGTTTCAAATGCCCCTGTCTCCGAGTGCCACTGCCTGCCTTTGCCAGCAGATACAAAATCTGTTCACTGAAGCAAACTTAGAGACATGAAGCGGAGCTTATGCAAATTCCAGGTCAGCATGTCGCATTCACATTCAAGTCCAGAAAATTCGCTCCACGTGAGGAAAGATATGTCCGAGCTGAAGGGGAATTGTTTGTGGTCTTGAATGCAGGGCAGGATTGGGGGCGTTGCCGGCAGAAGGAAAACTCTTGCATCTCCAGCAGGGAGAGTTTATGGCTGGGCGTGCTGTTGACTCCCGGGGAGGGGGGTGTTGTTTACTGTACAGTCTGGTCCTAATTATTCAGGGGCCGATTATCCAATTCATGGATTCACTGGCCTAGTGCCTCTCCTCTTTTTAAAGATTTCCAGACTTTTGGTGATGTTACTGCTCAGCTGATGCCAAATGGTTGAAAGAAAGAATGAAAAGAGGATAAAAATAATCTTGCTCCATGTTAGCAATTCCTGTAAACTAGCTGATCAGGGAAAAGGAGCAAACTGCTTGGTTAAAATAGAATCTAGGAATTGTTGGGGATAAGGGGTTTCTTTCTTGGTACCCTATACACGGTGTCCTGGGCCCCTATTGCCACAGGGACGTCCGTGGCAGATTTGCTGGTGACGGCTCCATAAGGCAATGCTCACTAAGTGCAGACAGTGCAGCAGAGCAGCCAGCTGGGCTCACAGTGAGGCTGCTGACTGCACAGTCAAGCACAGAAGCAGACCCCGAAGAAACCTCTGGGCTCTGAGTAGGCTTGGCCTATAGCTGCTTGTGTGTTGTGCAAAAGGATACAAGCTCCATCCAGCTCCTAGACCACCAAAAATCATCACACACTTTTCAGTGATGATTTGAGGGGGTCAGTAATAAATGCCCAGAGGAAAGAAGCCAAAATACAGAGCTGTGAGAGCATTTGGTGAAGCCAGACCTCAAGGAGCCATGGAAATGGGAAATGAACATATTACGGCACGAAAAGGTGTATTAAGCTTTGGGGAGGAAAGTGGGGTGACCTCTTAGAAAGTTAGTGGCAGGAGGATCTTGTGACTTAAAAAAATGTTCCTTTAATGAACATTCTTCCAAATGAATTAATTCTTTTGTATTAATATATTGAAGGCTTAGGACTGATTAATATCATTACTTTGAAGTATAATCTCTTCATTAACTTCTCTCACTTTCCATTATTAGTGAACATTTATATTTTTAACTATACAATGCACATAATAAAATGATTGTGCAGTAATACTTTAAATTTGAAATTAGGATTTTTAACTAGCTTGAACTGAGCTTTCCAAAGATAAGCCCTCCCTACCCCATTGTACTTGTTCTTTCCTCTAAACCCACCACTTAATTCAAAATCAAGGAGTTTCTTATTGCAATTGAAACAGAACAGGAATGTATTTCAGTCTTAAGTCTTCAACCTTGCTCTTGGTATTTTTTCCTTGCTATTAAATTTACAAAAGTTCAAGGCTTTTGGTTTAAATATCCAGATGAGTTTGACAGAAACACTCGACAAAGACAAGGCATGATCTAAATTAGAACTGGTCCTAAAAGCCTTCTCCACCCCACACTTTGAGGATGCTGCAGAAAAACAAATGAACAAACACATATACATCTAGTTTGACCACAATAATTGTTTTTAAATTTATTTGGTCCCAAATGACTTGAAGAATCTAACAAAATGTATGAAACTTCTTCCCAGAAAAATGTATACAAACACAACAGCACAGATTCCCTAAAGCCATCCTACCCTGATTATTGTCTCTTAAAGCAAAAACTGATCTGGCCTGGTGCAGTGGCTCGTGCTTATAATCCCGGCACTTTGGGAGGCTGAGGAAGGTGGATCGCTTGAGCTCAGGAGTTCAAGACCAGCTTGGGCAACATGGCAGAACCCCGTCTTTATAAAACATGCAAAAATTAGCCCGGTGTGGTGGCATGCACTTGCAGTCCCAGCTACTTGGAAGGCTGAGGTGGGAGGACGGCTTGACCCCAGGAGGCAGAGGTTGTAGTGAGCTGAGATGGTACTGAGAAGTGACAGAAAGCTGGCAGCCCTCACAGCCCTCGCTCGCTCTTGGCGCCTCCTCGGCCTCGACGCCCACTCTGGCCGCGCTTGAGGAGCCCTTCAGCCCACCGCTGCGCTGTGGGAACCCTTTCCTGGGATAGCCGAGGCCAGAGCCGGCTCCCTCAGCCTGTGGGGAGGTGTGGGGAGACAGGCAAGGGTGGGAACCGGGGCTGCGCAGGGCGCTTGCAGGCCAGCTAGATTTCCGGGTGGGCGTGGGCTTGGCGGGCCCGCACTGGGAGCAGCCGGCCCGCCCCACCAGCCCCGGGCAGTGCACCTGAGCCAACAGCTGCGGGGAGTGCGCTGGGTTCCCTAGAAATGCTGGCCCGCTGGCGCTGCACTCGATTTCTCGCCGAGCCTTAGCTGCCTCCCCGCGGGGCAGGGCTCGGGACCTACACCCCGCCATGCCTGAGTCTCCGACCCCCGCCTTGGGCTCCTGTGCGGCCTGAACCTCCCCGACGAGCGCCGCCTCCTGCTCCACGGCGCCCGGTCCCATCGACCGCCCAAGGGGTGAGAAGTATGGGCCTAGGGCGCGGGACCGGCAGAGCAGCTCCACCGGGGGCCCCGGTGCGAGATCCACTGGGTGAAGCCAGCTGGGCTCTTTAGTCCGGTGGGGATTTGGAGAACCTTTATGTCTAGCTAAGGGCTCATAAATACACCAATCAGCACTCTGTATCTAGCTCAAGGTTTGTAAACACACCAATCAGCACCCTGTGTCCACCTCAGGGTGTGTGGATACACCAATTGGCACTCTGTATCTAGCTAATCTGGTGGGGACTTGGAGAATCTTTATGTCTAGCTAAGGGATTGTGAATACACCAATCAGCACTCTGTATCTAGCTCAAAGTTTGTAAACACACCAGTCAGCACCCTGTGTCTAGCTCAGGGTTTGTGGATGCACCAATTGGCACTCTGTATCTAGTTAATCTGGTAGGGACTTGGAGAATCTTTATGTCTAGCTAAGGGATTGTGAATACACCAATCAGCACTCTGTATCTAGCTAATCTAGTGGGGATGTGGAGAACTTTTGTGTCTAGCTCAGGGATTGTAAACTCACCAATCAGCACCCTGTCAAAACGGACCTATCAGCTCTCTGTAAAACAGACCAATCGACTGTCTGTAAAGTGGACCAATCAGCTAGAGTTCCGGGTGGGCGTGCCCCCCCCCCGCCCCACTGCGCCCCCCCCACCGCCCCGCACTGGGAGCAGCCAGCCTGCTCTGCCACCCCGGGCAGTGAGGGGCTTAGCGCCCTCTCTTATGTGGGTGGGGCCACATAAGAGAATAAAAGCAGGCTGCCAGAAACAGCAGTGGCAACGTGTTTGGGTTCCTTTCCCCACAGTGGGAGCTTTGTTCTTTCATTCTTTGCAATAAATCTTGCTACTGCTCACTGTTTGGGTCTACGTTGCATTTATGAGCCCTAACACTCACCATGAAGGTCTGCAGCTTCTTTGTTGAAGCTAATAATATCACGAACTCACGGGTAGAAACAAACAACTCCAGCTGCGCCACCTTAGGAGCTCTAACACTCACCGTGAAGGTCTGCAGGTTCACTCCTGAGCCAGCGAGACCTAGAACCTCCCCACCCCCGTAAACTGCACACGTCTGAACATGAAAAGGAACATACTCCAGACACACCACCTTTAAGAATTTTAGCACCCACCACGGAGATCTGCGGCTTTTTCCTTGAAGTCAGTGAGACAACCCATCAATTCCGGACACATCAGAACTCAATTCTGAACTGCTGGGATGGGCGATTCTGATTTCCCTTTGGCTAGGGGTGGTCTAAATGCTTTCTCTGTGGAGCGGCCTCGGCTTGGTTCAGCCCGCTTTTGTTTTCTACTGTGACAGGGCAGCACTGAGTTCAAAGCAAAGTGTAACAATCGCTGTGCTCTCCCTCTTCCTGAGCACATAGATTCTCTCCATGGGCTACACAACTACTATGGTATGAGGGAGAGGCGTCAGCAATTCAAGACTCTCTTCAGTAGCTCTTTCATAAGTTAAAACCACATACTGGGGGTGCTTTTCTGATTTTTGGTTATTATGAAGGTGTTTTTTTGTGTAGTTATTAAGTTTGATGTTCTTGGGAGACAACTGGTGAAAATTTTTTTTGAGATGGAGTTTCTGTTGCCCAGGCTGGAGTGCAATGACGCAATCTCGGCTCACCACAACCTCCACCTCCGGGGTTCAAGCTATTCTGCCTCAGCTTACCAAGTAGCTGGGATTACAGGCATGCACCACCACGCCTGGCTAATTTTGTATTTTTAGTAGAGATGGGGTTTCTCCATGTTGGTCAGGCTGGTCTCGAACTCCCAACCTCAGGTGATCTGGCTGCCTCAGCCTCCCAAAGTGTTGGGATTACAGATGTGAGCCAGTGCACCTGGCCCAGAACCTTCTATTCAGCCGTTTTGCTGCCTACTTTAGCATTTTCTAATCTAATCTCAGAATCTGTTATATGAAGGAAATCTATTAATGGGAACCAGTCTATTATTTGGAACTAATGTTGCAAAGAATGTATTTTAAGAAACATTGCATTATATCATACAGCCACAAATAAACTTGCATTTCTGGATGTGTGAACCATATTAAAACATTTTTTATATGGAATATTTCAAATATATGTGAAAGTGGAGAGAATAATATAATGAACTCCACATACTTATCATCCAGCTCAGTAATGGTTATTAGTTATTTTTTTCTTTATATCCCCATGCATTTCCCCAGTCACTCCCAATTATTTTTATTTTTATTTTTTTTTTAGAGGCATGGTTTCACTAAGTTGCCTAGGCTGTACTTAAACTCCTGGGCTCAAGCAGTCTCCCCTGCTTCAGCCTCCTGAGTAGTTGAAACTTCAAGCTTGGGTCACTGTACCTGGCTTCTCCCAATTATTTTGAAGCAACCCTTAGACACCATATAATTTTATTTGAAATATTTTAGTATGTATCTCTGAAGACTCTATTTTAAATGTAATTACATCATCATCTTATCCCCCAAATTGTAATTCTAATTCTTTAATATCCATGTTCCTATTTTCCTGATTATCTATAAATGTTCTGGTTCTAATTTGCTTTGTTGTTTTTTGTTTTAAAGTGCATTTGAAATAGGATCCACAAAGCTCTATATATTACTGTTGGCTAATAATAAGTTCTTAAGTTTCTCTCTCTTTTTAAAATATTTAAATAGGGTCACGCTATGTTCCCCAGGCTGGTCTTCAACTCCTGGGCTCAAGAGATCCTCCCACCTCAGCCTCCCAAAGTGTTAGGATTACAGGTGTGAGTCATCATGCCCAATCCTCAAGTCTCTTTTAATGTAAATATTCTCCCTCCTTACATTTGTCTTTCATTCTTGTGATTGTTGTTGTATAGAAGAAATAGACCCTTTGTCCTGAGTTTCTCATAGTGTGGATTTTTCTGATTTCATCCCCACAGTGTTGCTTAACATGCTCCTCTGTCCTCTGTATTTTCTGTTAGATACAGGTGCTTGAACAGATTTTTTTTTTTTTTGCAAGACTATTATATAGGTAGTGTGGAATACTTCCATCAAGAATCATAAAATGTCACTTTCTAAATGTTACCAGCCATTGTTGATCATTGCTGAGAAACATTAATTCCTTAATGATTCAAATAGTGATATTTTAATTATTTCTTCTTCATTTGTTGGGTAGATTACTTATGTAAAAAGAAACTTGCCCTTGTTAAATATTTGGTTACACTGAGATACAGTTCATATAAAAAATGAAAGAAAAAAATGCTTGATTCTTTCTCCCTATTGATCAGTTTTCAAAATAGTGCATCGGTTCCCTAGAGCCTCTAAAGAATACCAAATGTGTTTCTGTTTCAGTGTTATTATAAACCAATGGATTTAAATACAGTCCATGTGTTTCAACAAATATTTTCTATTTGTTTACATCCATTTTAATTCTTCTCTTTATTGATGCTCAAATTTGTTCCTCTTTGCTCAATAAGAGCTCTTCAGCCTTAAAAAACGATCCCAGTCATTTTCCTGCCATGTGGTATGACAAGATGTTCTATGCTCATCTTGTACATTTCCAGCTCCAGATATCAAATCAGCCATTTCTCCAAAGTGCCCTGGTTTCTTTTAGTGGGAAATGGTATTTAGAAACCACAATCTAAATATGACATTTCTGAGTTTAATATAGACAAAATCTCCTCAGGCTTCACTTATTTCATATGACAAAAAGCAAAAACCAAAACACCTTATTTGAACTTGGTCAATTTATTTTCTTACTTTCAATTTTCTCATTTGTAAAATGCAGATGATAATAATCCTTGCTTATAGGTTTTGGTGCAGATTAAACAAGTCAATACATGTAAAGCATTTAGAATAGCACCTGTGCAAGCGAGCGCTTAATAAATGTTAATGATGATGGTGATTGAACACAGCATTAGCTTTATAATCAGATCTCGATATATGGTGATTGATTTTAAGATCAAAATATTCTTCTTTGACAACTAACAACTCTCCTTGATTATCCATCCAGACATCCCAAATTCACTTGACCTGCTTTCAGCATTCACATTATTGCAGCGGGGTTCAATGGAAGAAGTCAAGGAGAAAGAGCAACCAACTTCAAAGTTATTTTTTGCTTCTTGGAAGACCATCTGCTGTCATGACCCATTTCACGACATGCAAATTCATCAGCTGAGCTCAATTTCCCTTGAATCAGTGGCCCAGTAAATATAATTACTCTGCTAATTTTAAATTCCAAATGGTCAGCTCAGGTTAAAGAATGCTCATTCAGCAGTTGAAATTCTATAACGAATTGAGAAAACAGAGGGTCTACATGCCAGGATTTTGACAGAGAAGCAGGGAACAATTTTGTTTCTTGTCACCTCCTAGGCCACGGGCACACAACAAATAGGAACATTTCCAAATATTTTCCTCTGAATTTTTTTTGTGTGTATGTGTTTGAAATAGGAACTTGACACTTCAGAGAATGGGTAAGGAAATGTGTCTTCACAAACCTGGACTTTTCAAGACTAGGCTGATCTCTTTAAGAGGAATGGGGTGGTTGGTTCTAGAATAAACTATTCAAAGCCCACATTAAAAATAAAGTAATTTGTGACAATGAAACGTTTTCGAAATAATGCATTTGTTCCCTAGAGCCTCTAAGGAACATCAGTGTGTTATTGGACTGGATAATGTACCAAAAACTGCTTTAAAGGATATTATTAGGACAATTATTAGGACATCAGTGTGTTATTGGACTGGATAATGTACCAAAAACTGCTTTAAAGGATATTATTAGGACAATTGGTAAATTTGGCATAAGATTATAGATTAAGGTATTATGTCAATATTAAGTTATCTGAATTTTATTACTTTCTTGTTCTTAGAAAATATACACTGAAAAAATATACGCTGAGGAGTAAAGGGTCATGAAGTCTGCAAAGTACTTTTAAATGACCCAGAAAAACTTAATGTGTGTGTCTGTGCAGACAGAGAGAGTGAGGAGAGAGTGCATGCACACACAAGAGCTCAAGTGTGTCAAAATGTTAAAAATGGATATGGTGAATTTGGGTAAAGGGAATAGGGGAGTTCTCTATAGAATCCTTGACAGTCTGTTATAAATTTAAAATTATTTCTAAATAAAATGTTTGTTTTTGCTTGTTTTTTTTGAGACAGAGTCTCGTTCTGTCACCCAGGCTGGAGTGCAGTGGCGCGATCTCGGCTCACTGCAAGCTCTGCCTCCCGGGTTCACACCATTTTCCTGCCTCAGCCTCCCGAGTACCTGGGACGACAGGCACCTACCACCATGCCCGGCTAATTTTTTTGTATTTTTAGTAGAGACAGGGTTTCACCGTGTTAGCCAGGATAGTCTCAATCTCCTGACCTCGTGATCCGCCCACCTCGGCCTCCCAAAGTGCTGGGATTACAGATGTGGGCCACTGCACCTGGCTAATTTTTTGTATTTTTAGTAGAGATGGGGTTTCACCTTGTTAGCCAGGATGGTCTCGCTCTCCTGACCTCGTGATTCGCCTGCCTCAGCCTCCCAAAGTGCTGAGATTACAGGCATGAACCACCGCGCCCAGCCAGAAAGGATTTTTAAACCTAGTGTTATCCCAGCAGCTGAGTGCACTGGCTCATGCTCGTAATCCCAGCTACTCAGGAGGCTGGGGAGGGAGGATCACTTGAGCCCAAGTGTTCAAGATCAGCCTGGGCAACATAGTGGGATCTTCTCTCTTCAAAAAATAAATAAAATGAAATATATTATTACCCCATTAAAACACACTTTCTCCAGCTGGGTGTGGTAGCTTATCCCTATAATCCTAGCACTTTGGGAAGCCGAGGTGGGCGGATTGCCTGAGCTCAGCAGTTCAAGACCAGCCTGGGCAACATAGTGAGATCGCCCGTCTCTATTAAAAATACAAAAAATTAGCCAGGCATGGTGGTGCACGCCTGTGGTCCTAGCTACCTGTGAGGCTGAGACAGGAGAATTGCTTGAACTCAGGAGGCGGAGGTTGCAGTGAGCTGAGATTGCACCACTGCACCCCTGCCTGGGTGACAGAGTGAGACCCTGTCTCCAAAAAAACAAAACAAAACAAAAAAACACACTTTCTCCAAGATTGTTCCTGTGTGTGTCCCTGATGAGACTGCCTTGCCTGCTTACAGGTCAGAGGTGTGTAGGACAGGATTCCTCCACTGAGTTAGAGATGGTCTTGGATAAGAGGTAGCAAAACCAGGCTATGCCCAATAATCAATTTAGAAACCTTAAAATTAAGATTCCCAGTGTCCTGCCTTTAAGCTTTTGTAAAGAAGGCCCAGAGAGGGCCCCAGGAATCTGTATTTGGAAATCACTAACCAAATAATTCTCATGTAGCCTGTGTACAGACCAACACATGAGGAATACCAGACTAGACAACCTCTAGAATCCCTTTGAGTTTTAAAGCATCAGATTTTATCAGCTGCTAGGTTAGTGTTGTTTAACACAAAATGTGATAAGTTCAGACAAAAAAAGGACTGTACACAGGAAGGGGAACATCACACACCGGGGACTGTTGTGGGGTGGGGGGAGGGGGGAGGGATAGCATTGGGAGATATATCTAATGCTAAATGACGAGTTAATGGGTGCAGCACACCAACATGGCACATGTATACATATGTAACAAACCTGCACGTTGTGCACATGTATCCTAAAACTTAAAGTATAATAATAATAAATAAATAAATAAATAAATAAAAGGACTGTAAACAGCCCATCCACAGTTCCACAACCCTCTGACTATACCTCCCTAAAAAATACGAGGAATATATTTTTCTCCTACAAATTAATGTGTCCTAACTATAATCCTCATACAAATAAAACTACCTGTGAAATTGTGAGTTACAGGTTAATAATTTGTAGACAAAGTATCTTTGGAATTCTGCAAAGGTAGGGGATAGTCATGATTTCACACATGAATTCTATAAGGAGACAAATAAATACCCTGTTGAAAATGAACCATCGTTAAAGAGAACAAGCTTTGCAGTCACAGGTTTGGTTCCACTCTTCACTTCCATCTCCTTATCTGTAAAGTGGGAACAAAAATACAATATCTACTTTAAGGAGATTTCCCCCAGGGATATGTGGATAATGGGATAATAGAACACCACATAAAATGACCAGCATAGCACTTGGTACATAGGAATACTTAATAACTATTAACTCCCTTTCATATTTTCCCTTACGGAGTCAGCACAAGCCACTCTATTTTTAATACAGCTAGTTCTCTTTTTCTACAATTCAATAAGTCAGAAAATAGATTTGATCTTGATATGGCTGCATTAAAGTATTACAAGCATTTCAAAATATTTGGCTCCTTCTTTGATAATTAATGAAAGTACATAGTGTTTTAACTCTAGACGTTCATCAGACGTTTCAAGGATATTTAAAGGAAGGTATTTATATTCAAGGAAGAGAAATATTTGGTCTTAACAAGAACATTTCCAAATGTTATAAAAGGAAGGCTATTTTCAGAGTGTCCTCATCTGTTCCAAAATGACTGGATAAATTAACCCATTCTTCATCCTTCGGCTAGTTACTCTGGCTTTCAGCTATTTCTTTTGGTCTGCCATTCAGTTAGTCTTAAGTTTAATTGTATTACTAATTCCCTCTGCTAATCTAAGAAACTGAAACCACAGCCTGGCCAAGTTTCTATTAAAATTATAGGAATTTGTACCTTGGTCACTGAGTCTCAGGTTGTTGTAAGGGGCAGCTTCCTCTTAGCATAACAGGTAACACCTGGAACTATTTCCCTTGGAGCAGCTGAGCAAATAGGTAAGTCAGACTTAATTTTAACCAGGTCCCTGAATACAAGAGATTTGTCTTAATTGTTTTTGTAAAATAAGTTCATGGTCCATAGTATAATAGGTTCTCAGATAAATGAAAGAATGAATGCATGAGATCTAGGAGCTAAGAATTGGAAACCAGGAATACTGAGGTGAAAAAGCTAAAAAGATTAATACTCGGTACAGTCTGGCTCTAGGAATGTGGAAAACCAGAGAGTCCCTAAATGGGCTTCTTATATTATGGTTCAATACAATGGCAGATTGTCAGGCAAAGAAGGGAGCAAATATGTTCCAGAATTCTTGAGCAGATATTGTCTGGGTCTGGAAGAAATACTTTAATAAGCCATTTGAAGCAGTAGATGTAAACCCCAAGGGACCTGGTATGGCATGGGCATAGTTGCCTGTATAAGGCAGGGAGAAGAGACTTATTTAGAACTCTGGAATAATGAGGGGAGGGGAAGAGTGAGTGGTAGAGGCGCCTGAACCTATCTGAACACTCCTGTGCTACCACAGGGATCAAGTCTACAAAACAATCAGAGATGCTTGCTGTGGTTGAACTTCTGCTAAAACAAGAGAAGAGGCAGCTTGGCATGTGTTTTTTGTTGTTGTTGTTGTTATTTGTTTGTTTGTTTTTGGAGACAGGGTCTCACTCTGTCATCCAGGCTGGAGTGCAGCAGTGGAGTAATCTTGGCTCACTGCAACCTCCACCTCCTAGGCTCAAAACATCCTCCCACCTTAGCCTCCTGAGTAGCTGGGACCACAGGCACGCACCACCATGCCTGGGTAATTTTTTTGTTGGTTTGTTTGGAGAGGTGGGATTTCACCATGTTTCCCAGCCTGGTCTCAAATTCCTAGGCTCAAGGGATCCGCCTGCCTTGACCTCTCAAAGTGCTGGAATTCCACCACTTTGGGAGCCACCATGCCTGGCCAGCAAGCTGTTTAAGGCGATGCAACACAGTGGCAGCTGGGAGCTGAGAGTGCTGAGGCTGAGACAGGCAGGAGGAAACAAGGTGTGTGCAAGAGTTTTACATAAATCATGGGAAAGGCATCAGCTTATCCTAGCCAGACAATTAGAGTTTAGGCCAAGTTGATCAAATCTCTGAGGGCAGGAAGACCCTGCTGACATCTTGATTACATGAGTAGGTGACCAAAAAGTTCTTAGAGGAAAGGTGAATGAGCCCTTCTATAGGGCATTTTTCTGTGCCAAGTGTTGGCACTTAGTTTACTGAACTAATGTCCATTGACATCCATTGTGTTCCTGAGACTGTAGCAGGCCAGGGAGATTAGAATCACTATAATATTACTACTACTAAATGTAATATATACACTAAATTACATACATCATATGATAAATATGTATATATACACATATACCATATACATCATATGATATATGTGTATATATACATATATATCATATGCATCATATGACATGTGTATATATACATGTATACCATATACATCATATGACATGTGTATATACATATATACCGTATACATCATATGATGTATCTGTATATATACATACATACCATATACATCATATGATGTATCTGTATATATACATACATACCATATATATAACGTTTGTGTGTATATACTGTGTGTGTATGTATCTAGTGTGTATATGTATGCATGTGTATTAGTATTACAAATACTAGTCCTTTTTTCTCCAGAAGCTTATAATCCCTCTAGTAGGATGGATAAGACAAGCTTACTAATAATATTGTTGCAAAGAATTATCTAAGTACCCTGAGATACAAAGGCACTATAGAGGCTCAAAAGAAGGAGAAATTACTTCAGACTGAAAAGGGCTCATGAAGGAGGTACCTTCTGAGTTCAGCTGGACGAGGAAGCACAAGCCGGGTTTCAACAGGTGGGGGTTTTATATGAGGGCATTTCAAGAGTTTGGGATAGCAAGAGTGAAGAAATCAAGATGAGAAGAGGCACATTGTTGCTGGAGGAAACAGTGCAAATGTGTTTGGTTGAGCCGAGGGAACATGGCTTCCTTCTCCTGGTTCTTGGCCCCAGGAGTCTGGTCATTAAACTATCTCTGTTTCTCAGAAGAGCTCAACCATGTTGCCAAACTTTGACCAACATTTAATAGTGGCTGGGCTCTTTATTCACTTTGTAGCTGATCTAGACCTGGCACTCCTACTTTTGGCTCATTTCACTGTTGTCCTGGGATAAGACAAGTTCAGCTAAGATTTGTTATCTACGATGCTTAAAGAAGAGAAAGGACCAAAACATGCCCTGAAAGACCCATTGAGAGCTTATGATGTTGACTGATTTCTCTCAAATAAAGTCTGAGTATTCATTCATTCATCACATATCTACTGAGTTTGTTCGTTGGGTCTGAATGTTCCTAGTTTGTACAGAGGGCAGTGTATTAACTGCCGTTCACTGTCTCTATAAAGAGCCGAAGTGATTTCCAGACCCTAGGATTCAATGCCTAAGAACTTTAGGGCTTAATTTGTCTCTATCCTTGAGTTTCCAGACATTCTAAGATTATACAGGGACACTTCTCCCACTTTTCCATATTAAGTAAATAACTCAGACCCACAGAAACTGACATTACTCAAACCAAGCAAAAGGGAAGGTGTTTTGTCTCAAATGCCGCAGAAATTCTGCTGGAGAAAATCAGTGGAGCATCAAAGCAGATCTCCCATCCCATCTTTCTTTCTGCCATCTGTACCAAGTGAGCAGTTGTTCCTTTGGGCTTCTTGATGGTGCCAGGATTCAGTACATCTTGCCAAAGGCCCCTAATCAAGCTGATGGGTTGAGGGCAGAAGGACAGCTAATTCCTCTTTGGGAAGGTGTACAAAATACTTCTGGCTAGGCTACCCCAGTTTCCCACCCAGACTTATCTGAGCACCAGTGGCCTGTCCCTGGAAAGCTTTGAGTTGGACATAGAGCCTTGTTTGTTTCCTTTCAAGTTTATGTTCTGGTCTGAGTAGTGAAATCTGCTCAAAGTCCATACTGTTGGAACTGGAGCTTTTGTTTTATGAACTTAGCCGATCTGTGTTCCTGGAAATAATTCCAGCCCAAACCAAAATGAACAGCCTACTCTGCAACACATGCTTTGATTCCAAAATCTTCATTATGTTTAAGCATGTCCCTAAGATCCCTCCGATGTGTCCCTTTTTTGAAATCTTTTAGTTGCACAGAAATGTAAGCCTCCGTAAGTAAAACCTAAAAAATTTCAAGTTGCCATATTTTAGGTGTAATTTTTTCATTGCTTCTAATATACTTCCTCCTCTATTGCTATGATAAGGTTGACCTTGTCGTATTTATTTGGCAAGTATGGGCTCTATATTTTTTAGATTTCCTAATGCTTTTCTCCATCCCCACTGTGCCCTTGGGAATCTTTTCTGAAAGACATTTGTTTGACCATGAGCTTCATGATGGCAGGATTTTCTTGCATGAATAAATGAGTAAACATTTGTTACCCAAGCACGAATCAGCCATCATTCAAGACATTTCAATTTAGTGCAATTCAACTCAATTCAATTCAATTTTTAATTGTTATTAGCTAGCAAATGCATGGGGAGCTGGCAGAGTAGTCGCACTTTTTTTTTGAGGTGCAGTCTCGCTCTTTTGCCAGACCGCAGTGCAGCGGCACGATCTCGCTGACTGCAACCTCCACCTCCTGGGTTCAAGCGATTCTCCTGCCTCAGCCTCCCGAGTAGCTGGGACTACAGGTGCGCTCCACCACGCCCAGGTAATTTTTGTATTTTTAGTAGAGACGGGGTGTCAGCATGTTGGCCAGGATGGTCTCGATCTCTTGACCTCGTGGTCACCTGCCTAGGCCTCCCAAAGTGCTGGGATTACAGGCATGTGCCACTGCACCAGGCCCACACTTTTCTTTGACTTCACAGGTTTTAGTACCTGTTGGGAAAATTCTACCACAACAGTGGCTAGTGGGTCACCTTTGCTGGCCAAGAGTATACACTTTGGGCTACAGGGAAGATAGGACAGCCTTCAAGCTGAGAACTTTAATTCTAAAACAAGGACTTGTTCTTTAATATCAACTTTTTAAACTTAAAGAGTTTATAACTCTTTGCAGTTTCTGTGGTGGGAAGGTGAAAGGTGATCTTTTAGAAAGGACAGTTAAATGCTATGAATGGAAGAACTGTTAGGGAATCTAGTCTTTTCAACGATAGAGGAACATGTAGATACAGATTGTGCTTCCCTCTACCCAGTGATGTCACTGCCTCCTACAAGCTCAAGACCAGGCCATTTCACTAATGTAAGGGTAGTGGAGGCCCAAGCAAGCATGATTAAAATTGCACAGGAAAGCTAGGTGCCATTAACAGGCAACTGCAGGAAGGGGCAGGGTGGGGAGAGATCTTTATTCAGTGGTGACTATAACAGGACAAGAGTCAGGAGACAATGTCCCTGGTCAAACGACACCCTGGATGCCCCGAGATCTCTCATTTAACAATGGATGTTTTGGTTTCCGCACATATAAATAGTATTTTTGACTGCATATTTTTAAGGAGTGTCTGTGATAGCATAAGATGAAAAAACCAAATTCTTTAGAAAAGGGTATACCACAAAACCCATGAATCCAGTGCTTTATGAAGTGCTTAACATTCCCTACAAATGGTTGTAATTAGTTATAATAATCTTGACCACACCAATCACCATCATCATAGAAGACTAAACACTCCATTTGAAACTCTAGAGAAATACCAGGTCTTCATATCACAAAATCTAAAATACGTTTAAAGAGTTTTTATTTCTGCTTCTTCCTATCCTAAAATCTAAACAAATAAACAAACAAAAGTCACATTTCTCAGCCATTTCTGATGGAAACCACTTTACTAGATCTAAGCCTCTCAAATTCACATTTTAGTCCTGGGGCCTCACTTTTGCATTGTAATTTAAATAGATTGTGAGTTGCAGTTTTCTTAATGGAAAACATACAGTCTAGATGGCCCTTTTTAGTAGGAGGATGCATCTTGAAATTGGTACCGGGGCAGTAGATTCTTGGGGGCCCAGCTCTCTCCTCCTTTTCCCCTTCTGACTTCCCCTAGGGGTTGCAAAGTTTGGTCAGACAACCCGCTCTTGGTTTAACTCGTGACTTTCAGTGCTCTTCTTGGCTTATCCATGGTTTAGGAGACATCTCTGAGTATGAGTCTTTGCATAGCACTCTTTTGATTATGGTCCCTATCTAGGTGTAGAACCACCAAGTGGAACTCCAGAGACTCTCACCTTAGCACGATTCCAACTCAGTCCGTGCAATCCTCATCCAATGGAGATCCCAGTGACACTGTCTTTTCCCCCGTTATCGTGGGTGTTACTGAAAGAGGCTTTATGGCAAATATATAATATAACACGTCCACAACTCTTCCATTGCTTTTTTCTTGCCATTCTCATTTCAATTAATTTAAAAGAGATGCCTCAAGCCCACTCATCTGTTGCTTTGGGCTTTTGTTTCTAAAGCACACCAATTCTTTCCATGGAGAACTCTCATTGCTTTCATCCAAGGAGGTCTAAAAGGCCTCCCTTAAATGAAAGAAGGTTGCTGAACCCTGATCTAAATACCCTGGGCCCCAAGGCAGTTAATTATTGGCAGAATGTCTCAGTAAACTTTATTGTCGTTGAGTTTCAAATAAGTAAGTTGGGTGTGGGGCAATTTTCTTGAGCAGAAAGCTGAAATGATCCGAGATCTCTGGAGCCAACTATGCTCCTGGCATTGCTATAAAAGGAGAGAGCTTCTAGCCACAGAAGACTATTCGATACCCTACCACAGTCCCAGACACAAAAGTGGGCAAACCTGGTAAACATGCACACTTTCCCATTGCATGCAGTGAAAGCCACCTGTAGCAAGTTCATTTTGAAATCATTCAATTGGGAAGAAGGCTAGTTCTTGACATCTACTTGTTAATTTTGCTCACAAGCCTCAAATGACACTGGCTGTAGAGCAGTCATTTCATGACTTCACACACAGGGCCCTCCCCTTCCTCATTCTCGGCAGTGGCCCATGGGCACACCATTGTACTCACAGTGGCCTGTTACCTCTCAAGAGGCTGGACCACGAGGTGGCACTGTAATGATTTAGCCCTGTGAGGATCGTTTATTAAGTAGCTGTGGATTTGTGAGATTCCCTACAGACTAGATAACAGTTGGCTGCATTGGCCATGGGCTCTAAAACCCAAGGCAGAAAGAGATCAATTCCAAAACCAGAAAGTCCATTTGATTGTGGGAGGGCTCTTGGTATCCAATGGCTCATAACTAACCTTTTTTCTCCAAGTGTCATGGAATAGAAGGCCACAGAAATCCAGTGTAGACCCAAGGTGGTTTCAGAGTCACTAGCAACCCTAGTCAAAACGGACAACTTTGCAGACACAAAACAGACTGAGATTCTTACTCAGAGGCAAAGTCTAAATATAATTCTCTAAAATAACACATGGAAGAAAAAGAGATCTTTTGTTCATTTTTTTCCTTTTTATTTTTCTCTCAGTCTCCGATGGAAAGTTTTTGATATGTTTTCTAAGTTTTTTTTTCCATAGGGAATGAAATCATGGGAGACATTAACTTTGCATCTTCTGACTCACTCTGGTCTTACCTAAATATATCAAGAATGAGCCAGGATTCTAGGTTCAAGATAAAAAGAATGGTGCGCCAAAATTCTACAGGCATTGAAAGGTTGGATCGCGGCATATTCACTTCTGTTTGTCTCCCAAACCTTTCTCCCCTAGAAAGCAAGATGGCGGCATTGATGGCTGCCTCTCTGGAGCAGGTGTTGAATGTGCATCTTCGAAATCTAGTTGCTGGTACAGGAAGTGGCAGTTTTAGCTCAAGGAAGGGATATTCTTGAAACAACCTGTTTTCCCAGCTGTTCTTTCCCATTCCTTGACTTACTCTATGTTTGGGAGTTTAAAAAGTGCCTCTTTTATGAAGATCATTTACTTCTCCCAAGGATCCAGTATTATGTAAGTTTGGTGTGGTAATGGAAAAATCATAAAATGCCTGAGAATTTACAGCGCCACTTTAGTAACATTTTTTCTTGTTTTTGCAGTACAGTTTAATGACCTCTAGGTGGTGGTAAAGGTTTCAATCAGTTTTCATGAATGGCATGAACAGCTAGTCCTCAAATTGCTCTGTAGGATTTTAAAGAGTTAATTAACAAGACGAACAAGGTTGACTAATTTTCTTGTGGCTTCAGTATTACCTTTTGTTCCTGATGCTCAGTATATGGCTTGTATATAACAAGGAGCTCTAAAAGCCAAGCATGAGATTGAAAGCATGGCTTAGGAAATGCTTATTTTAGTTTAGATCGCTCTTGAAGTTTAGCTGGGTGCCTGTAATCCCAGCACTTTGGGAAGCCGAAGCGTGGGGATCACTTGAAGTCAGGAGTTAGAGACCAGCCTGGCCAACATGGTGAAACCCCGTCTCTACTAAAAAATGCAAAAATTAGCCTGGTGTGGTGGCGCATGCCTGTAATCCCAGCTACTAGGTAGGCTGAGGCAGGAGAATTGTTTGAGCCCCAGGAGGCAGAGGTTGCACTGAGCCGAGATGGCGCCATTGCACTCTAGCCTAGGGGACAAGAGCAAGACTTCGTCTCAAAAAAAAGAAAAAAAAAAAGAAGAAAAAGCTTAAGGGCAGCACACTTCAAAGGAGATTCAAACATCTCTGGAGTTTTAATTTGTTTACGGTGAACAAAAAATAATTTCCTGTTTTAATGGAAAAGTATTTGGTCATGAACTCCCATTAACCAGGCATCAGTTTGATGACTAAAGGAAACAAACATATGGATTAGATTTCCTACAGAACAGTTTTTTTTTTTTTTTTTTTTTTTTTTTTAATTTAAGAGGAAAAACATGCCTGGGAAGAATCTCTTGGGCTCAAAAAATAAGTTTTGCAAAAAGACGGGTGACAGTAGTGGTTCACAATCACTTGTGTTCCAATTTGTTCATAAGCTTTGACTTAGAAAAGGAGTGGACATAAGAAATCTTGTCTTTTTGGAGGTCAGCCTCTTCTACAACGTCAATTCCCAGATCCAAGCCCTAGAGACATTGTGAAGATCTACAGATTATTTTTCACATTCACCTCCCTTCTTCGGTGGGTTGAGTAACAAGACTCTGAATAACACTTCAGTAAGTCCCAGACTATCTGCTGCAGGGGGCCTGCCCCAGGAATGCCCCACATTTTGACTGACAGGTTTAGCCTGCTATTTTGTTTGGTTGACTTACTTAGGCCACAGCAGTATGTACAGTAATGTGCCACAAAACAGTGACTCAGTGAATGATGGACCATGTTTGTAGCAGTAGTCCCATTGTTAGTGAACAGATTCGTTCTGCCTGCATGCTAGGAGCCAATGTGGCCATGGTGAGAGGTGAAGCCAGCTGGACTTCCTGGGTCCAGTGGAAACTTGGAGAACTTTTCTGTCTTGCAAGAGGATTGTAAAACGCACCAATCAACACCCTGTACCTAGGATTGTAAAAAGAACCAATCAGCACTCTGTAACTAGCAAGGGCATTGTAAAATGCACCAATCAGTGCTGTGTAAAAAGCACCAATCAACGCTCTGTAAAACGCACCAATCAGCAAGAGTCTAAAAGTAGCCAATCGCGGGGAGGATTAAAAAAGGGCACTCTGATAGGACATAAGTGGAACATGGGAGGGGACAAATAAGGTAATTAAAGCTGGCCACCCCCCAGCCAACAGGGATAACTTGCTCAGCTCCCTTTCTGCAGCTGCGGTAGCTTTGTTTTTTCACTCTTCACAATAAATCTTGCTCCTGCTCACTCTTTGGGTCTCTGCCACCTTTTCATAGAGCTGTAACACTTACTGTGAAGGTCCGCGGCTTTTTGAAGTTAGAGAAAGCACGAACCCGCCGGCAGTTACACAACCGGTTTTTGCTAAAGAAAAAAGATGTTATTCATGAGACTGCTGTGCGGAGATGGAAAAACAAAATTAAACTCTACTAACCTAAAATGGGCTTGAGAGTGCTTATGGGGAGAGTAAGTAGTCTGAAATGTGGGGAAAGGTGATGCAATCAGGATTTCTACCCAAGCGAAGTCAGGGTGCATGGTTTATCATAGAAACTGAAAGGTGACAGCATGCTCGCAGTCCTGAGCCCTCGCTTGCTCTTGGCGCCTCCTCGGCCTGGGCGCCCACTTTGGCCGCGCTTGAGCCCTTAAGCCCACCACTGCACTGTGGGTGTCCCTTACCCTGGGATGGCTGAGGCTGGAGCCGGCTCCCTCAGCCTGCAGGGAAGTGTGGCGGGAACCGGGGCTTCCGCGGCGTTTGCGGGCCAGCTAAAGCTCCCGGTGTGCGTGGGCTTGGGCCCCACAGGGAGCCGCCGGCCGGCCCTGCCCACTGGCTCTGCCGTCCCTAGGCAGTGAGGGGCTTAGCACCTGAGCCAGCAGCTGCGGAGGGTGCTTTGGGTCCCACAGCAGTACCGACCCAAAGGCGCTGCGCTCGATTTCTCCAGGCGCCTTAGCTGCTACCCCAGGGACTAGGGCTCGGGACCCGCACCCCGCCATGCCTGCGTCCCAGCCCACCCCTTGCCGTGGGCTCCTGTGCGGCCGGAGCCTCCCGAACGAGCGCCGCCCCCTGCTCTCCGGTGCCCGGTCTCATCGACCGCCCAAGGGCTAAAGAGTGCGGGCGTAGCAGGCAGCTCCACCTGTGGCCCCGTGTAGGAGCCACTTTATATCTAGCTAAGGGATTGTGAATACACCAATCAGCACTCTGTATCTAGCTCAAGCTTTGTAAATGCACCAATCAGTACTCTGTGTCTAGCTCAAGGTTTGTAAATATATTGATCAGCACTCTATATCTAGCTAATCTACTGGGGACGTGGAGAACTTTTGTGTCTAGCTCAGGGATTGTAAATGCACCAATCAATACCCTGTCAAAAATGGACCAATCAGCTCTCTGTAAAACAGACTAATCGGTTGTCTGTAAAATGGACCCATCAGCAGGATGTGGGTGGGGCCGGATAAGAGAATAAAAGCAGGCTGCGGGCGGGGGTGGGGTGGTGGGCTAGCAGTGCCAACTTGTTCGTGTTCTCTTCCGTTCTGTGGTAGCTTTGTGGTAGCTTTGTTCTTTTTGCTTTTTGTAATAAATACTGTTGCTGCTCGCTCTTTGGGTCCACACTGTCTTTACGAGCTTTTAACGCTCACCACGAAAGTCTGCAGCTTCCTTCCTGAGCCAGCGAGACCACGAACCAACCAGAAGGAAGAAGCAGTGAACACATCCAAACATCAGAAACAACAAACTGTAGCCACGTTGCTTTTAAGAATTGTAACACTCACGCGAGGGTTTGTGGCTTAATTCCTGAAGTCAGTGAGACCGAGAACCAACCAATGCCAGATACAGAGCCATGTGCAGAATAAGATGGCATTATCATGATCTAAGGGTGGAAGTTTTGGCTCTCTGATGTCACAGATTACCCACCGGCAGGGATCCAGTTCGTCTCTGTAGACTTGAATTGGACAAGAGCTGTTTCTTTAAGCGAATGTTACTATAGTGAGCTATGGTCAAGGCTGTGTTATCTGCAAAGAAGCCACTGGGGATTTTAAGGTCAATTAGAAGTAAGCAACTAAAAGCATGCAAGCAGGTTCAATTTGGTGAGCTTAATCAGGTTAGCTCTCAGTTTAACCATAAGATGATAGTACAGTATTGTGGCAGTACTTCTTGTGTGTTTAGTTTTGTGAGTTGTGGTCTGGCTCTGTCACCCAGGCTGGAGTGCAGTGGCGCGACCACGGCTCACTGCAGCCTCAACCTCCCAGGCGCAACCAATCCTCCCACCTCAGCCTCCTAAGTAGGGGGGACCATAGGCATGTGTCACCAGGCCTGTCTAATTTTTACTTTTTGTAGAGATGGGGCCTTATACTATGTTGGTAGGGCTGGTCTCAAATTCCTTGCTTCAAGCAATCCTCCCACCTCTGCCTCCCAAAATGCTGGGATTACAGGCATGAGTGACCAGGCCTGGCCGCACTTTCTATGTTTAGATATGTTTCAGTACACAAATACCAATGTGTTACAATTGTTTACAGTATTCAGTACAGCAGCAGGCTATACAGGTTTGTACCCTGGGAGCGGTAGGCTGTACCATGTAGCCTAGGTGTGTAGTAGACTGTACCATCTAAGTTTGTGTAGTACACTCCACAGTGTTCACACAAATTGCCTAATGACACATTTCTCAGAACATCTCTGTTGTTAACTGACACATGACTGTATTCATTTTAGCCAACTTTATTATTAAAAAACAACTGTATCCAAATTAATTGTAGGCATGGCAAGCTATAATAACTACTAGAATGGCCAACTTGAATAAGTCATTCTACAGATATTTGTTAAGCACCTATTATGTGCAAGGCACTCTGCTGACATATGTTAGCCAGGCTGCTGTTTTCTGCAAATAGAACAACTCTTTCAAATTTTATCTCTTCCTCCCAAACACTCTTCTGCCTCCATAATTTCAGTTTTCTAACTACATCTGCTCACTATTTGGTAAGGGGCAGCTGTAATATTTTCAACTCCTTTAGCATCAACATTACTTTCCCATTTAGCCTTTAATCTGATCTTGTGTGCTATTTATTGTTTGTGTATTTATGTTTGTGACTGTGTGTGTGTTACACTCAGAAACTGCCTTGCCTTTCTTCAACTCTGTACCCTTGCAGGGGAGGCCCTTAGAACCCCCTTGCTCTTTACGTTGCGGTGGGGCCAGTTTTGAAGATGGAAATGGAAGACTTAGGGACGTAGTGCCTACTAAGTACTTTCTCTTTCCCATATGTTGTTTCATTTGTTGTCACAGCGAAGCAGATAACTTCAATGAAAAGATCACGAACTTTGGAATCAGCAGACTAGAGCTGGAATCCTGATTATGCTACCTTACTAACCTATTGACCTTGGGCAAGTTACTTATGGACGTAAGATTCCTCGGCTGAAAATGGGTTCCTCATAACAGCCCAATTTCAGGTTGCTCTATGAAGGGTCCAGTGAGGCACCATTCATCAGTGCTTAGGAGGCACTTCATTTTGTTCTTACTCCCTTTTTCTGATGAGGAAAAGTGGAGAACATGAAATAGCGCAATATGTATGTTTTATAAAACTAATCTACGGCTCTAATGAGACTATATAAACTAAATGGGTATATTTCAACCATTTCGAATCAACTTTATTGCTCCTGGAAATAAATTTAGGTTAATTCTGGTTTTCTGTAGTTCCCTGAGGGAGTGCAACTTCATATATCCACAGTGTAAAATGACTTACTCTCAAAAGATGTTTGGCTGTGTCCTTCGAACAGATGAACGAACGTATGTTTTCTCCAGAGAAAACCAGATATAGATATTCCAATTCAACCTATAAGATTTAGATGTTGCCATTTACTATATAAAATATGCATTGGCCTAGGAAAACTAACTGAAAGCTTATTAAATTGTCTTAAAAATGCCAATAATATTTCCACCAGAGTATTTTTTCTTTCTCATGCATCTGTACTTTTGAAAGTCTCCAAGGAGGTAGACATGAGTATGAAATCACACTCCTAGCATGGGATGTGGCGTGGGGAATCGGGAGATGTTCATCAAAGAGTACAAAGATCCAGTTACAAAGGAGGAATATGTTTTTGGGATCTATTGTACAGCATGGTGACTACAGTTATGATAATGATTGTATATTTCAAAATTGCTAAAAATGTATTTGAAATGTTCTTACTACAAAAAAATGACAAGTATGTGAAGAATGGTAATTGGCTTGATATCATCATTCTACAGTGTATACGTATATCAAAGCTTCATCTTGTACCCCATAAATATATACAATTATTATTTGTCAAAAATAAAATAAAAATTTTAAGAAGGAATTGGCAAATGCGGCAAAAATGGCAACACAGAGGACATTTACCTTTGGGGTGCTCCCGTCTTACCTTCTATACCTTTCTCTTTGCTCTTACATTTTCCAGTCCCATCTTGTCATCCGTTAGTTCTCTGATCCCCTATTCTAAAAATCCCTGTAGACCCAGGGATTGCCCAACCTGCAGGGCTATGTCATTAGCCTTTTCCCCGACAAAACCTATTACTTATTTCATTTTGACTCTGCCACAGTTGGGAAAGCAACGGCAGACTAATTCATCTTATTGACTCATAAACAATTTACTTTATTATTCTTTGGGAGTGGGAGAAGAAAGGAAAGGTTGGGATATAACATTCTTTTTTTAAAATTTAATTTAATTTACTTTAAGTTCTGAGATACATGTACAGAATATGCAGGTTTGTTTCATAGGTATACGTGTGCCATGGTGGCTTGCTGCACCTATCAACCCATCATCTAGGTTTTAAGCCTTGCATGCATTAGGTGTTTGTCCTAATGTTCTCCCTCCTCTTGCCCCCCACTGCCTGACATGTCCTGGTGTGTGATGTTCCCTTCCCTGTGTCCATGTGTTCTCATTGTTCAACTCCCACTTATGAGTGAGAACATGTGGTGTTTGGTTTTCTGTTCCTGTGTTAGTTTGCTGAGAATGATGGCTTTCAGATTCATCCATGTCCCTGCGAAGGACATGAACTCATTCTTTTTTGTGGCTGCATAGTATTCCATGGTGTATATGTCACATTTTCTTTATCCAGTCTATCACTGATGGACATTTAGGTTGGTTCCAAGTCTTTGCTATTGTAAATAGTGCTGCAGTAAACATATGTGTGCATGTGTCTTTATAGTAGAATGATTTATAATCCTTTGTGTATATACCCAGTTATGGGATTGCTGGCTCAAATGGTATTTCTGGTTCTGGGATCTAACAGTCTTAATGTAGGCTGGTTGTGCTACCTTATTTTATCCTGACAACTGTATTAGCCCATTCTCACACTGCTATGAAGTACTACCTGAGACTGGGTAATTTATAAAGAAAAGAGGTTTAATTGGCTCATTGTTCTGCAGGCTGTACAGGAAGCATGGCTGGAGAGGCTTCAGGAAACTTACAATCATGGCAGAAGGCGAAGAGGGAGGAGGAACGTCTTACATGGCCGAAGCAGGAGAAAGAGAGCAAAGGTGGGAGGTGCTATGCACCTTTAAACAACCAGATCTCATGGAACTCACTGTCACAAGAACAGCAAGGGAGATGTCTACCATCATGTGGGTAGACTCCCAGTCACCTCCCAACAGGCCCCTTCTCCAACATTGGGGATTACAATTCAACATGAGATTTGGACAGGGACACAAATCCAAACCATATCAACAACCATATGCGTTATATATTTTAATTCCCTTATTACAGATGAGAAACCTGATACTTTAAGAAATAAACTTTCCTAAATAAGAAACTCATAAATGGCAGAAGTGAAATTTGATTTCAGGTTTTTAAGACCCCAGAGCATGTAGGCTGTCTACAGGTGTACTAACGGAGGGGTTTACATTCACCTGAAGACACAGCCTGGGCCACAGAGGTCGTGGAATCCCCACTGCAATGGCGGGCCATGGCTGGGATCTTACTCCTTATAGAGCCAACTCCAGATATTAGTAGAAACCCTTTTATTCCAGTCCCCCACACCCCATTTTAATTCAAGATATGTCCTTTGTTTAGAAATAACACAATGGGGGCAGGTTCCTTGACCTGCTATTGCTTTTCCTTGACTAACCAAGAATCTTTAACACATGGGCAACCCAGTGGGAGCACCCAAGACAGAGTAGAGACACAGGGTGTTGAGAATGCTGCTGAGGAAAGAGCAAAGTCTCCTGCAGTACAATACAGAAGCCTCAGCCTGCTTTGCAGTGGGCATCACAAAAGGCTCTGAGGTGCTCTCAGAGAAGCTGCTCTTTCAGTTGCTGCTTAAGGGTCTCAATGGCCAGACCTAGCTTAAGAAGAAAGAAAACAATAACTCTAGGCCAGTGCAGTGCCTCAAGCCTGTAATCTCAGTACTTTGGGAGGCCAAGGAGGGTGGATTGCTTGAGGTCAGGAGTTTGTGACCAGCCTGGCCAACATGACGAGACCCTGTCTCTACCAAAAATACAAAAATTAGCCAGGCATGTTGGCCACACTTATAATCCTAGCTGAGGATTATAAGTGTGGCCAACATGCCTGGCTAATTTGGAGGCTGGGACATAAGAATTCATTTGAACCCGGGAGGCAGAAGTTGCAGTGAGCTGAGATCGCCCCACTGCACTCCAGCTTGGGTGACAGAGCGAGACTGTCTCAAAACAAACAAAAAAATAAACAAACACTCTAGCGTTTTAGAAAAATGAACTGATTATAGATTCATAATGGGATAGGGAAAATGAGGGTGTTTGGAAAACAGTACAAATTTTTTGAGGTCGATGTTGGAGGTCACTGTCAGAGTGTAGACATGTAGACCATGAATCTGAACCAAATCCCAGAGTGAGAAGCCCCCGGCCTATCCTTCTCCACAATGCTCGCCTTAAATGACTTTTTAGTTAAACCATCTGGGGGTTGGGGGGTGAGTGGGATAAGAAGGGAAAAGAAAAGACGGGGGTGGGGTTGTGAAGTAGCCTGCTGTGCCATTTTAGTGTCAACATCTCAACTCCGCAGGTTGTTCGTGTTAAGATTCTGTGAAGCTACTCAAACAGATTCACACGGCAATAAATTAAATATTTCAACTTTCTTTCTCTTTGGTTTTTTTCTTGTGGCTGAACTGATGGCAAGCTGGGGTGGGGTGTGTGACTGAGTAAAAATAGGCTGCTAGAAAAGCCCAGGTATCTGTTGTAAGCCAGAGTACACTTTGTATCAACAAATGCTGATTTCTGGGGAGGCAAGGCCTGGGTGTTAATGTTTAACACTCCGGGAATTAAATAGGCAGTTTGGTTGTGACCTGGAATTTACTGCTGTCCTTTCAACCCTCAAGCAAATTAAGGAGAAACCTGCTGGACTTGCATCCTCAGTGGGAAAAAAGTAAAACACTGTCCAATGCCAGAGGGAGTCACCTTTTCAAAAGAAAGGGAAAATATCCCATCTACTGGTTGGTTGGTTGTCCTCTTCGAGTTCCATTTTTAAATGTTTACTTCACTTTATTCATGTTAAAAAAGAAACAAACAAAAGCCTCAAAAAAGGGGAGGGGGGAGGGAGGATGTGGTATAGGAAGATAAAGGGGAAACTTTATAAAGAGATACATCAACCAATTGCAATATGTAAGTCTTATTTTAGTCTACATTGAAATGACATATAAAAATAAATGAGGAAATAATACAAAGAAAAACTGTTTTTGAGGCAATGGGCAAATTTGGACACTGACGATATTTGAACATATCAAGGAATTAATGTTGGGTTGTTTGTTGTAATAACAGATAATAGTTATGTTTTCAGAAAGAGTCCAAATCTTTTAGAGATGCATAGAAAATAGTTTTAGATGAAATTATATAACATCCTGGATTTGCTTCAGGGTAACCCAGGGAAGAAGGGTGGTCAGGGAATGGCTGGAAATACACATCCAATGAGATTGGCCATAAGGGGATAATTGTTCAAGCTGGGGGTTCATTATACTATTCTTTCTCCTTTTGTATGAGAAATATTTTGAAATATTCCATAGTTTGAAATATTCCATATTAAAAAGTTAAAGGGAAAGCCCCGTGAGATCAGGCTGTGATCTCAAACAGCACAGCTGCCTTGACTAGAAGCATGCCATCTCTGGAGAAGTATCCCCAAAAGCCTGAGAAAACTTCCTCCTTTTAAAATTGCTTTTGTGTTATTCCCATGAACTCACTGTCTTGGACCAGAAGCAAACCATGAACAGTCCTTTTTTCAATCAATTCAAAGAAAATATGGTAGGAAGGAACTGAGCAGAAGATGAATGTAAATGAAAGGGAACTAAAGCATGACAAAGGCAATCTATAGCTAAGATGAAGATATTAAGTGCATTAGACTGCACAGCCAGCCATGTGCAGCCTGCTATGCCCAAGACCCCAGCAGCTGTCTCAACAAGAGCCACTATTCATGATATCTAGGCCAGGCCTTTGTGATGTTTGTGTCTTTGGACTGGTGTACCTTGGTACGTCATAAAAATCCAGATGTTTTTGCTTCCTGATTGAAATAATTCTTTTGCAACGGATTTTGTGGCAAGTTTTCTGAACAAGTACTATATATTTAAGTGGTTTACTGGAAAACAGCAAATGTGTCCTTCATGTCTTTGAAATACATAGGAAGCATTGGGTCAGGCCCCTTTTTATAGAATGACATCTTGAGGAAGATTCAGTTACATCTTTGGGCGATGACTCCAGGCTGCTTACAAAGGAGTGAGAGGGTTTTATCTCTATGTCAGGTAAGCAGAATAACAAGACAATAAAAGCTCAGGAAAGCCAAGGCTCCTGGGAGATACTGAACTTAAAGACCAGATTTGAAGAGCTAATGCTAAACAGAAACCGAGGAGCGTGTCACAACCCGGAGCACCGAGGACCGCTGCTAAAGAAGTTTCGAAGTAGTATTGTTTCTGTCTTAATTTGCAGGCTTGATCTCCTCAAAATAAAAAAGAAAGATGGAGAGACAGAAGAGAAAAGGAAAGACGGCTGTCAACTCGTGAATGCCTATGAGAGGAAGGCAGTGTGTCCCATCAAAGGCTTTGATGCTGCATCTTGACTTTTCTCCAAATCACTTCTCCAGTTCACTCCATCTACCACTTTCCTTCACCAAAATAAGCCTAAATATACTTCTTCTTCTACTATTTTTTTTTTTTTGACACAGAGTCTCACTCTGTTACCCAGGCTGGAGTGCAATGGCGTGATCTCGGCTCACTGCAACCTCTGCCTCCCAAGTTCAAGTGATTCTGCTGCCCCAGTTTCCTGAGTAGCTGGGATTACAGGCACCCGCTATCATGCCCGGCTAATTTTTGTATTTTTGTAGAGTTGGGGTTTCACCATGTTGGCCAGGGTGGTCTCAAATTCTTGACCTCAGGTGATCCACCCACCTTGGCCTCCCAAACTGGTAGGATTACAGGTGTGAGCCACCATGCCCAGCCTCCAAATATACTTCTAAATGAAAAAAGCAAACTGCTCCTTGAGCTGGCACTAGTGGGTAGTTTGAAAAAAACGGATGGGGAATTCAAGAATATAATTCTACTTCTCTTGGCATCTGGAGAAAAGATGTACCTGTATTATTTTTTAAGGTTCTTTAATTTTAAAAATAAACTTTTAATCTTACAGTTGTTTTGGATTTACAGAAAAATTATGATAGTGCAGACAGTCCTCATATGTCCCACACCTACTTCCCCCTACTATTTTTTTAATATGAAAAGACATTCATTATTCTGACTTTACTATATAACATGTTAGTGAACACCCCGGATTGCATTTTCTCAAATGGCAAATGAAGAACATTTCTCTTTGATTCCCCCGAGTACCTCAGTCATCTGCCTTTTAGAAGATCTAGTTTCTTGCAACATCTTTAATACTGTCCATGAGAATACCAACAGCGTGTAATACTAAAGAACATTTTGCTAAGTTGTTCTATCATGGGTCTTTGCTCAAGGTGTTCACCTTTTTCTTCCAATCTGGTTTTCAGCACTTGATCTTGTATTTCTTCATTATTGTGCCCAGGATGTGGTTGAAGGATGGGTTTTGTGTATTCATAGGGAATGTCCACAGGAGAGTGGTAGCAGGCTCACTTCCTGCCATTGGAAGTCACAGCAAGCTCTGTTTTGCAATTATAGTCATCAGGTAGAGAAGAATACATAGATTTATAACACACACAGTATAAAGCTCCATTTTGCATTGGAAATAAATGTTTCAAGACAATTTGCTTTACTGTCCTCTATTTTACTGCTGCTACAGCCATGGGGTATGGAGATGCTTATCAGGTAGTATAAACATCTTCGAAAAAGATGTTTTGAAGAGAGAATGCTTTGAAAATCTGCCTCTAGGCACACCAGTTTTCATCACTTGGCAGCTCCTTACCTCAAGTCCCCCCACTTGTTGCCCCCAATATTAACATCTTGCATTTGTGCGGTGCATTTGTTACAATTAATGAACCAATATTGTTACTATTCACTAAAGCCCATAATGGATTCATACTTTCTCCGTTTTTACCCAACGTATTTTTTCTGTTCCAGTAACCCATCTAGGATCTTACACTACATTTAGTTGTCATTTGTTCTTAGGTGCCCCTTGGCTATGACAGTGTCTCTGACTTTCCTTGTTTTTGATGACCTTGATGGTTTTGAGGAGTCCTGGTCAGGAATTTTGTGGAACTTCCCTTAATTAGAATTCAACGGATGTTTCTCTCACGATTAGGCTAGGGTTATGGGTTTTTGGGAAGAAGCCCTTTAACTCTTTCATCTTAGTGTCTGAACATCAGATGTTTCTTCCTTTGAATCTCTTCAAAGCCAAATGGCTTTGGGCAGCACAAAATACTCTGGGCACGTGTTGCTCTGTCTCCCTGCACATTTATTTGCCTTCTAGCACCTTTTGCTGTTTACTCTGCTAAAGAATAGAAACATATTTAAAAACTGGGAATGTACTTGGCAATAGCATCTGAAAGGTGTATATGAAACTCAAGTCTAATTATAGTTGTTATACAGGGAGATTTAAAAAATTAAACATCAGTAGTTGATTATTTTAGTCACACACATGTATGGTACATAAATTCTCTTTCCCTATCAAATAGGAGATCTAGATTTCTTTTTCTGAGATAATTTGTAGCCTTTTCCATTTATAATTCTAGTTGCTACAAGAATCAGCATCATCTTTAACAAGAGGGATTCATTATTAGAAAATTTAATAACATAATCCTTCATATTAAGACAAAGAGAAAAAGGTCATATAATCATCTTCACAGAGGTAGATAACGCACCTGATAAACTTAACACTTAAAAATATACATTGATGACTATTTTGTTTTTTAAATACGTATGATTATATATAATTACATATATCATTATATATGGTTATATATGGTACAACATTTACTGAAATATATAAATAATGTATACTTTATATTCATATGTGATTTTTAATATGTTATACATGTGATTATATGTCTGTGTGTGTGTATACTTTAGCTCAAAAGCTGGCATCTTATTTAACGTGATTACACTGGAGACTTTCCATTAAAGTGAGGAACAAGACAAAGGATAGCCATGATCTCCACTGCTATTTAATACTGGGCTGGAGGTCCTAGTCTATGCAATTAGATAAGAACAAGCAATTAGAAGAATAAAAATTGGAAAGAAAGAGGTATAACTGTCTCTGTCAAATCAATGTCAATATGTAGATGAGGGGTGTCCAATCTTTTGGTTTCCCTGGGTCACACTGGAAGAAGAAGAATTATCTTGGGCCATACATAAAATACACTAACACTAACAATAGCTGATGAGCTAAGAGGAAAAAAATTGCAAAAAAACTCATACTGTTTTAAAAAAGTTTACAAATTTGTGTTGGGCTGCATTCAAAGCTGTCCAGGGCCCTGTGTGGCCTGCAGGCTGCAGGTTGGCTTTAAGCTTGGTGTAGACCTTATCTGAATCCTGATTCAAACACAAAAATTGAAAAAAAATTATTTTTACAATGAAAAAATTTGAACATTGACTGGATTTTGGCTAATAGCAGACACTAGTGAATTATCGCTACATTTAAGTATGATAATGGCATTGCAGTTATTTTTTTTAACGTTCTTCTCTTTAAGAGATACATGACGAAATGTGTATAGATAAATAACATATGGGAGAATGTAGAATCTATATTATCTATAACTACCCCACAGATAAAACAAGATTGTCCATGAGTGGACAATTGTTGAAGCTGGGTGATGGGTCCATGGAGCTCATTATACTATTCTTCCTACTCTTGTATGTGTCTGAAATTTTCCACAATAAAAATTTAGAACAAGGTTAAAACAAATAAGGCAAAATAGTATCATGCATGTAATCTCAATGGTGGGTATATAGTCATTGTATTATTTTCTATTCTTTTTTATCTTTGAATTGCTCATAATTAAAATCAAAACAATTTACAAATATACAAATTATTTTGATTTTAATTATGAGCAATTCAAAGATAAAAAAGAATAGAAAGAATAGCTGTGCAGATACTTAAATTGAGGGAGGATTTTTTTTTAACTCTATAAAATCTTATTTCTTAAAAAAAAAAAAAAGAAAGAAAAAAAAAGGCCTAAAGTAAGTAAGTGTATTAGTTCGGCTTCACACTACTATAAGTGCCCCAGACTGGATAATTTATAAAGAAAAGAGGTTTAATTGACTCACAGCTGCAAATGGCTGGGGAGACATCAGGAAACTTATACAATAATGGCAGAAGGGAAAGCAAAACCATCCTTCTTCACAAGGTGGCAGGAGAGAGAAGCACAGAGCAAAGGGGGAACAGACCCTTATAAAACCATCAGATATTGTTGAGAACTCACTATCACAAGAGAACAGCATGGGAGAACCGCCCCCATGATCCAATCACCTCCCAAGAGTTCCCTCTTCCAGCACCTGGGGATTACAGTTCGGATTACAACTCAAGATGAGATTTGGGTGGGAACACACAGCCAGACCATATCAATAAGCAAAATGTTCAAGTCTGTTTACTCCTGGTAGTGGGCACATAGAGTCTGTTTATTATTCTGTCTTTTGTTTGCTTAAATTGTTCCTTAATTTAAATAGCATCCTTTATTTTTTAAAAATGCCTGTGTGTAATGCTGAGGTCATATCTGCCTTCTATGGAAGCTGCTTGCAGCGGGGCACAGAGGTCACCAAGAAATTTTGCACCTGGAGATTTTGTATCAGCAAGAAGTGGGTAGAAAAGTAGAGGGTCGCTGGAAGGAAGGTAACACTCCCAAATCCCAGTCCACTACACACTTTCCCACACTCTGAGGGGCTCTCCAGAAAAACTAAAAAATCAGGAGGAAGATACCTCCAGGGTTAGATCTTTCTTCTACTTCCTCAGTGGTGCCTAAGGCATCACCCTCCACCCATGGCCCCATTGTGGTCAGCACCTCCCGACCTTGATCTAGAAACTGCACGCTCAGAGTTACCCTCTCTCTGGGGTCAGGCAATTCCAGCACTGCACTTTCAGCGTTGGCTGAAAGTCTTGAACAGTTTACTTAGACCTTCTCCATTTGTTTGGCTAACCCCAGAGAACACCTCAAAGTAAGATCTGGTAAACTGTGCAGTGTTTAAACATTTTTTCTTCAAGTGGTAAGACCAAGTACACATCCCATTTCGACAAGAAGAATTTGAGATAAGCCTCTGTGATTGCTGAGGGCTATCGAGGAGAGTAATTTACCCTGAGGGCTGCCAAAACAAGTCCAGTCACTAGGGAAAGATTCTGCATGGAGACTAGAGTGTGGACCCCATAGCCATGAAAACTATGGCCTTTTTTTCTGAATTTGAGGCAGTTTTAGAAAAGCAAAAACCAAAAACTTCAGCAGATACTTTTCTCCCAAGTGGCTTTGTTCCCTCGCCTCTGGAGAGCCATAAACCATGAAATTTATTTGGGAAGGGGGTGCAGCATTAACAAAGACATAGTGTCAGTTGCTTTCTATTAATTACTCTTCAATATTAGTATACTTTTGAAATATGCTTCAGAAAATGATGACTAAATGGCTGAATTTCTAAAAGGAAAAAAATTGTTTTAGGATCAGATCAAGCACATTTATTAAGCATTCACTCATTCATTCATTCATCTACTAACTATTTATAAAGCACCTACTATGTTCCTGATATTGTTGCCAGGTTCTCAAGTTACCCAGAAGACACAGTGGCCACTTACAAGGAGAGGCATTGGGTAAGGATGTGCTAAGTTTTGTCTCCATCAAATTAAATTGAAAATCAGTTATTATCTAAACATTTACATAATTACAGGCAGTCATTATCCAGGTTGTTTTCCAAAGGCCAAATTTGACTCAGTGTGTCTTTGATTACTGAGACAAGGCACCAGTCGCATGAAACATCTCTTCAGAACAAAGCATTCCAAAGAAATTATTACACAGGAGGTTTAGCTCAAGAAAAAAGGAACAGAGAAATAGCTTGGGGTACAAAGCTCTTTATCTTGCTTTCTAAAGTGCAGTGGTTTAACGTTTAAAAGGTTACTTTCTGGAACATTTTTCCCTTGAAAGTTTCTTTCACACATTTGCAGACAGAAATTACAATAGAGCCATGAACAGCTTCCACTCTCTGGAGGGGATTTTCTTGCTTTTACTTATGTATTAGATAAAAATAGCATTTTACTTGTCTTCAAGCCTAAAGACAGGATTACATTTAAATCAGGTTCTTTCATTTTAAAATGTGAATTGTTAACTAGGGAGTAATGAGACCCGACCCTTAACCAGGCAGCCCTGGATTTATCCTTATGTCCATAAAGTTCCCAAGTTAAAATGAGCTTCAAAGGTCTGTAAATGTGAGGAATGTTACCTCCTTCCCCCTGGCACTTGTGAACATTTTAGTGGTTGTTTTCTCTGGTCAGATCCTACTGCCTCCAGAGATTTTTTTTTTTAACTTATTTCTCTGCTGTGTTTCCTGAACTTTTTCTAATAAGCAAGATCAGAACTCCTTTAGATACCTCCTTGATTTCGTTTATTGACAATCTAAACCCTACTGAGATATGTCCCTCAGTTATTCTGGACCTCATCAACAAGTCTGAATCATGGTCTCCAATTCACAGAAATGCTAAGATTGCAGCAACTTCTCTATAATAAATTTATAAAATGAGGTAATCTGATAGACAAACTCATTTAAGAAGAGTATTGACCACTTAGATTTCTGATATTTAAAAAAACACGTTAACTGCTGGAAAAGTCAAATAAAAAAAGCTAGAGGATTTCTTATATGTGTTCCATAAAATCACAGTGTTAATATTTCAGAGCTACAGAGAGCCTTGTTGATTATCTAATTTCCTTATTTTGTTATAATGGAAAGTGAGGCTGTCATATTGTGAAATATATACAGTACTTGGTTATCCTCCAGTTTCCTGGCATACAACTCCTAAAATCCTTGGACTCTTCAAAGTAATAAGTGGCTTTGTATGTGCTATTGAATTGACTAATAGGGGCGGTTCCTAGGTAGCTTCAGGATGGGGTTGGTCACCAGAAAGACCAAGGCAAGATTAGAGGGTTGGGACTTTTAGCCCCACCCCGAAACCTTGAGAAGGGGAGAAGGGCTGAAGATTATGTTGGTCACCAATGACCAATGACTTAATCAATCATGCCTCCCTAATGAAGCTTAAAAATCAAAAAGGACTATGTTCTGGAATCTTCCAGGTAGCTGAACCTCCAGACAGTGGAGGTTCCTGGAAGGTGGTGTGCCCAGGGAGGGCACGAAAGCTCTGTGTCCCTTCCTGCATGCCTTGCCCTACACATCTCTTCATCTGTATCCTTTGTAACATCCCTTATAATAAACAGGAAAACTTAAGTGTTTCCCTGAGGTCTGTGAGCTGCCCTAACAAATTAAGGGAACCCGGCGGGGTTGTGGGAACCCTAGTGTATAGCCAGTTGGTCAGAAGCACAGATAATACAACCTGGGGCTTGCGATCTGCATGGGAAGGTGTGTGTGTTGGGGGTAGGGCAGTCTTATGGGTCTGAGCCCTCAATCTCTGGGATCTGACACTCTCTCCAGGTAGATAGCATCAGAATCGAATTGAATTGGAGGACACCCAGCTGGTGTCCACTGAGGAATTGTTTGCTTGCTTGGTGGATGGGAAAAACACCTCCTCAATTGGGTCACAGGAGTCTTCTGTGTTGATTGTTTAAGTGAGAGAATAGAGGGAACGCTTTGGGTGTGTTTTTCCCCCTCATTTGGCAGGGGGGAGTTAAGGTTCCATATAGAATTAAGGTTGCTAATCAATGGACCCTAAAAAAAGGAGAGGATCCTGGGGCGGTGGAGGGCAGTTTTGTGGGACTGAGCCCTCAACCTGTGGGATCTGATGCTGTCTCCAGGTAGATAGCATCAGAATTGAATTGAATAAGAGGACACCCAGCTAGTGTCCTCTGCTGGATTGATTGATTGGCTGCTGGTTGGGAGAAATCTCCACAAACTTCTTCGTGCCCAGAGGTCACAGAAGTCTTCTGTGTTGATTGTTGTTGAGTAAGAGCATAGGAAAAGCACTTTGTTTTTTATTCTTTCATTCACAGAAGTCCACACAGGGGCCCAGAGAAGCAAAAGACAGGACTTTCCTAATATCGCATCAATTGACTTCAGTCTTTCTATTCCTTGCTGCAAGATACTTCTACTAGAGAACAGAAAAAGTCAATATCTAAAGAATGTCCAAAAATAAAAAGTCTTCTTTTAAAATGAGGTCTCGGTACCTCTTCAGGGAATCTGTCCCTTCACAGTTCACAGTTCACAGTCAGGCCTTATTGATCTAAAAAGAACTAAGTTCTTCCTGAGTTTATGGATTTATTATATTCCCATGTTGCCTGCACTAGAATGTAAACTCCAAGAGGGCAGGGCTTTGTCTGTTCTGTTCACTGGTGCACCCTGAGTACCCACCACAGTGCTTGGCCCCCAGATGATGGTCAGAATGAATAAATGAATGAATGAATGAAATGAAATCTGGCTGTCACCATAGGCAAACACTCAGGACTAACAATAGAAGGAACAAAAATAAGATCTGAAAAGGCCGTATGTTTATTACGATAAAAAATAATGTATTAAATGGGCATTTTGAGAAACTTCATTTTGTTTCTTTATGTCCTGGTAATGAGGCCTAAGAAGATCCCAGATATTACCATCTCCCTGGCGTCCCGAAACCTTTACTTATTAGGGTCAAACATCTGCCATTTAACTCATTCATTAATCCATACCTACTAGATATTTTATAATGATATTTTCAATATTAGAATCAAAGGTGCTTAGCCGGGTGTGGTGGGCATGCCTCTAGTCCCAGCTATTTGGTCAGCTGAGGTGGGAGGATCACTTGAGTTCATGAGCGAGGCTGCAGTGAGCTATGATTATGCCACTGTACTCCAGCCTGGGTGACCCCGTCTCTAAAAAAAGAAAAAGAAGAAAAAGGATGAAATGTGCCAGAGGTGTCAGTCAGTAGAAAGTGAAGCAATGGACTAGTATGAGATAATCCACATCATAAATAGTAAATTTTGACTGTCGTGTGTAGGCTGGGTCTAGCCACTGGGATCTTGAGATGCTACTAGTATTGATGTTCTTTTCCATGTGCTCCAAAACAGTGAAAATTCATACATGTTGCCTGTTCTCCCTCCAGTAGTGACTGTAAGACTTTAATTTGATTTAATTCAAAACAATTTAAGTTATTGAGCATGTACTCAACAAATTATTCTGCTAGGCATTTTAGGAAGAGATATATGACAAGGGCTGAGTTCTGATCAATGTCGGCTGTTTGATGCATTGCCTGTCTGGCACATTGCCTGCAAGATGCCTGTAGCAGGAAATTTTTTATCTTACAGTCATGGGGCTGGAAGGATAGGGGAGGAGCTTTTTCTGTTGGATTAAAAAGGAGATACTCAAAGTTGAGTTAATAGAGGACAAAGATGTCAAACCTGAAAAAGAGTTTAATGGGAATGAAGAGACTTCCAATGACCTGAATGGTAAGCAGTTTCAATCCAGAGAAAAATATATTTGAAAAAAACAACAAAGTTATGAATACAGTGGTTTTTAACAAGGTACAAGGGACTTCATGATAGTTTTGTTAACAATGCTTCTTAAACATAACTTTCAATGGACAATGTTGATTTTATGTAAGATCAAGACAAGAGGAAAAGGAAGATTATAGAATTTCCAGATGAAGATAAATGTCAAAGGAAGATGAGGCTTCAGACAGATAAAGACAACAAACAAGTCATGGGAAGGCCCCAGTGAGAGCTGACTCAGTGAGGGAGACTACACACATGAGGAAGTGATAATTGAGTGTTTCGCATCCAGCAGGAAAGAACCTAGAAAAAGAGGAGAGAAAAGGAAATGTATTATAAAATCTCAACAAGTTGTCTAACCCAAGAACCCAAGACAAATTTTGACAGCTTTGTTGGCTTCAGTTTCTAGCATTATTTTTATTGGTTGAATTAGGTACAAGTAGCTCTATGGGTAGCAAAAGCCCACAGGTGATAGAGACAATTTCTGCAAAACAAACACATTGTATCTTGTGGATGGTATAACAGACACCTGCCATGTGTCTGTTGTTGGATACAACCCTACAGGAGGCATGATTCATTTCCAGCAGCACGAGACCAGTGTATTAATCACAATGCTTTTGGCTGCAGGTAATAGGAAAATCAAATAAAGCAGCTTCAACAATAAGGAAAAAGTGTATTACCTCCCATGGCAGTAGGACAGGAGATGGTAAGGGCTGGGTGGGGTGGCCTGAGGCTCTGGGATCAGTGAGTTCAGCTGCTTAATGTTGTCAGGATGACCTAGATCTTTCCACCTATCAGGTCTGCCATCCTCATCATATGCGCTAGCACCCCTCATCTTCACAAGCTTGCATTAGCAGCTCCATGCATTACATCCTCACACAATGCCAAAAGCCGGAAAAGCAGAGGGCGTGTCATCTTTCTGAATCCCTGCCCTCTAGCTCTTTTTAAAAATTAGAATACCTGGTTACTGGGGAAAAATCATAATGAAAACTGCAATTGCTTATTTCACAACTTACAAAATAATGATTCAATATATAAAATGAATTTCTTTTTTTTTTTTTTTTTTTTAGAGTTGAGGTCACACTGTGTTACCCAGGCTGGTCTAGAACTCCTGGACTCAAGCAATCCTCCCACCTCGGCCCTCCAAAGTGCCGGGATTATAGGCATGAGCCACCATGCCCGGCAGTAAAATGAATTTCATTATATAAGTACAAACAATATAAAAATCCTCTGGATATATCATATATATGCCATTGAGAGAAACTCACATTCCTTAAATCTGCTGCTGCATGTTTTACATTAGACATTTTGGATCTATTTACCAAGGAAGACCACATTTTTAACTATATGTTGGTTTTTGCTTACAGTTGCAATCTATCAGAAGCTGTATTTATATAATTAGAGCCTAGTTAAACCTGAGATGAAAACAAAAGTCAAGCCATTTCTTACTCCTAGGCTGTTGGAATGGTGTTTTTTGTGATAGGAATGGCCCTTCTAATGCTTCACTACACAATCTAATCAAATCTATCATCATGATGAATTAGACCCAGTCCATCTTTCAGTCTGGTCTGCTCTGAGCCTGAACATATAGACATAAAACAGTACGAATTTATTAATATAGCATTTTCCCACATCCTCACCCCATAAACCACTTCAAAAGAGGAAATTTCATTTTCACATTTTACTTCTTAAGGAGGCCTCACTACCACACAGGCCTTGGCCATGAAAGAATACGTTCCTAGGTGATGCCTCAAGTTAATGTGAAGCTTAGCAAAAAATCAATTATTCAGGATAGTAATTACAAATTCTCACAAATATTATGCCTGTAGGAAACTATTTTGCTTCTTTAAATATCTGAAGGCTTGCAAAAATGTTTATCTTCTTGCATTTTTTTGGAATGTTTGGTAACTGACAATTTTTACCAATATCTCCCTTTTCTTAGCCCTTAATAGACAGTCCATTCCATCTAGTAAAAACAAAAATTTGATCAGATTATTAAATCTTGAAAGCCTTCTCATTTTTACTATATAAAGGGGTAAGTTTCATATTCATATTCTTTTACAAATGTGGTATAAATTGTACGGATAATATAAGGAAATATTGTCAAATATAGGTAATGAGTGGTGTTTAACTTCACAAAACGTAAATCAAAAATGAACATGAAACTCTAACAGTATTTAAGAAATATTTTCTCCCAAATTGTGCTAGCATTTTCGACTAGTTTAGTAATATCGACTGCCAAAAAATAGGTTCAAAGCAGCCTGAAGAAAACAGCCTGAGGATTAAAAACGGCTTGATATTTTCATCTCAAGTTTAACTGGGCTCTAATCGTATAGCATGGCTTCTGATGGATTGCAACTAGTTCCTTCCTCCAAATCCATCTTCCCACCAGCAATTTTCCTCCTCTCTCATTCCCCACTTGAGGTGATGTATGTAAGTACTTGGTCTGAGGTTGTCCGGGAGGTCATCTTCGCAGTTTGGGAGGCAGCAGCAGGAGAAGGCACAGCCGATCAGGATAATTGTGGGCACCCATCTGAAGCTGTAGGTCCAGTAATAGATGTGACAGCAGGCTTGGCATGAAGGCTGAAGGTCTGGGTGTATTTCACGGGTGTATTACCAGAAGGATGATTCGGAACACAGCAACCAGAGCGAGAGGCTCTAGTCACTCCTACGAAGACAAGCGCTTGGGATCCATAGAGGGCAAAGAAGCAGAGGATGGAATAGATCTTGAGGGTGATAGAGCCACAGAGGAGCATAGCAGCCGCTCTTCACCATGTCTCCCCCCATGAGACCCTGGTGGCCACACTTGTGGGAGCGTCTCCACTCCGGCGAGGATGTGTGGATGTGGTCACTCGCCTGCAACCAGCCCCTGCCAGCCGGTGTGATGATGATGTCAAAGGCCATGGCGCAGAGCAGGAGCCCCACCAGGCCCTGGTGCATAATCGGCTCGGGTGACAGCAGAGAACCAGGTGAAGCCCCTTTGTAAAGAGAACCTGAGCAGAAGCTTCCAGACCCTCACATCTTATTTAAAAAATGTTTTAAGTTAATTTTTTTTTCTAAGTTTCGCTCTGTTGCCCAGACTGGAGTGCAGTGGCATGATCTCGGTTCAAGGCAACCTCCGCCTCCTGGGTTCAAGCAATTCTCCCACCTCAGCCTCCTGAGTAACTGAGATTTCAGGCACCCGCTACCATGCCTGACTAATTTTTGTATTTTTTGTAGAGACGGGGTTTCACCATGTTGGCCAGGCTGGTCTCAAACTCCTGGCCTCAAGAGATCTGCCTGCCTCAGCCTCCCAAAGTGCTGGGATTACAGGCGTGAGCCATCGCACCCGGCCCAGACCTTCACACCTTAGATTGGCAAGAATCCTATCAAATGCCATTTCCAAACCAATACGTGACAGGAGGAATCGAATTCCCGATTGGTTTAGATTAATCAAGATGTATCCCTATGAGGCTGGGAAGGTTCAGCCTCCCCTAAAGGAGGCTGAATAAAATAAAATCAGGATTTTGTGAGAACAGAAGCAGAGTCAGGGAGAAGAGCTGTTGTGCAGGCAATCAACAGTGTCTGCCATAACCCCCCTCTCTTAATTTGCGCACAGTAATATTCACTCTTTGTGGTATATATGGCTCTAGGGTTTTGACAAATTCATAGAGTTGTGTGACCACCACCACTACAATGAAGACAGAGAAATGTACAGGATGGAAGAGAGTGGATAGGTTTATGCTCAACCAGCATGGATTTACTATTGTGGTAGAAACAAGTAAGAGGGAGGGCAGAGTCATTGTTCTTACACGTTTGTATGAACAAACTTCCAGGAGGGTGAGCAGGCAATGCCTAAATCTAATATAGGGAGCTAGGGACAGCATATTGTCAGGGTTTGAAGAAGGGAGAGGTTCCCACTCTGGAGCTGTGGCCTGCTGTGTCCTTATGACTATTTGTATCTCCCGGGGCCCCTTGCTCAGGTGACCATTCCAGACGCCCATCTCTGGTTGCTGCGTGGTGGTAGCCCCGATGGTTTCTTTCGATCCCCTGGGCTCACATTCCTTGCTTTATTCTGCCCATCCTTCTTGCTGACCCTCAGCTAGTCAGCCTGGGGGTATTCAGGTCTTCTGTCCACATTCAGGACATGTCCCTATTCCAAAGAGGAAGGCTGAGTTTGCAGACAGCCTTATTCCAGGCAGGACTGGCTGGATTCAGGATGGTGTGCTGGGAGCTTGGGTGGCCTTTTGATCATTATTATGGCAGGTGGACGGTGCTGATGAACAGATACTGTCACTGTGTTTGAACACAACAGACTGCTTGGACATAACAAAGAATCTAGTAAAATAAGATAATAATTATAAGAAGGACAGCAAACACAGTTAGCTAACTTTTCCAAACCAAAAAGACCGTCCAGCGAGAGCAGCTTTTGAGCCCTGTTCCACAATACTTACAGTGTTTAGAGTCCCATGAAAGGGCCCAACTGTGGCTAAAACAACAGTCATCTAACTCGAGTTGCTTTCTTCCAGGGAGCTGGCGCCAATGCTTGTCTTTACTGCCCAGGGCCAGGGCTTGTTTGTAGAGTGCCTTTGTGCAAAGTGGAGAAAGTCTCCCCACTCCTCACGATGCTTTATTTCCATCTCTTGGGAAATTGTTATAATATGCTGTAAAATTGTAATAGTCAATATCTAGATCCTTGAGGCATAAACTTTGAATGATGCTTCTTAGGGTTGTACAGGGTGCAACCAGCACAGCTGTAAACATAGCCTCAGGACCCAGTTGTTTTGAGGATGAGAATAAGCCCCATTGTCTCAGAAATGTAGCCAGTCTGGGTCAGTGGTTGGAGGATGCCTGGCAGCCTATTAATGTATTCAGTCAACATTGACGGAGTGGTTACTATATTCTGGGCACAGTGTTAAGTGCTTTACGGCATTATCTCATTTAATCTTCAAAAAATGACCATGAACAGGTATTATCTTTGTTTTGTTTTGTTTTGTTTTGTTTTGAGACGGAGTCTTGCTCTGCCGCCCAGGCTGGAGTGCAGTGGCGCGATCTCGGCTCACTGCAAGCTCCGCCTCCCGGGTTCACGCCACTCTCCTGCCTCAGCCTCCCGAGTAGCTGGGACTACAGGTGCCCGCCACCACGCGCGGCTAATTTTTTGTATTTTTTAGTAGAGACGGGGTTGAACATGTATTATCTTTATTCCTATTTTACAGTTGAGGAAGTCAAAGTTTAGAGAGCTTATTCGACTTGTCCCAATTCACAAGGTTTGTGAAAGAGCTGACCTAGAATCCTGATGGAGATGATGCTGAAGTGACCACTCTGCTTCCTGAATATATGCCTTGAATATACTGTATAGATGTATATATAGTTTTTCACATATATCAATCCTGTTGGTATCGATGGTAATTCTTAGGGATGTTCATATTATCGTATCTCTTTGTTTTCATATATATCTGATGGGTTCCTCAGGAAAAAAATAAAGCAGCAGCTCTGTGATACTTAAGGTGCTGCAGAAGATGATGATGCAAACACATTAAAGTCGCAAATACTGAGAAAAATATCTGTCTTTTCGGACCAAACGACTGAAGACCACACAAGTAACTGCTTCAGCAGTAGAGGTGAATTGCACGGTGCCTCTGCGTCGCTTGCTTCAGTGGCGGGGACGGTGTGCTTTTGCTCAATTAAGAGGATCAGCCCTTCACATTGCAAGCCTGTTGGCAACGATTCAAACCTGACAGCCTGAGCTTTCACAGCGATAATCCGTAGGCTCTTTGGAAAGGTGACACAGCAGCTTCCTCCAGAGCACATGTCAAAGAGGATCCTAGTGGCCAAAGACCATGTTGTTCTTTCTTTTTGGGGTTCTGTAGTCATGGGAGCATGACTTTTGGCCCAATAAAACACTCCTGCTGAAATCCTGCTATCTTGCCTTCTTCTTCAAGGAAGCTGATTAAAGCGAATGAAGAATGAAAAATTTTGCCCAACAGCTTTTTGTTTGGTTTTCTTACATGAAGGATTCTTAATTTAACTGATTTCCTTCCTAATTAGATTTAGCAATTAGGGCTGCCCGTTAACCTGGGAGTTTCCTGTACGAGTCTCAGCCCCCATCACATCTGCCTGGCTTGCAGCCCCACAGCTGTGTAACTGGCAGTTAAATCCATATCTTCTGTTCAAAGCAGAGGAGATGTACATAGCCAAACCCAGGTGGCCGGCTCTTCAATCCAGTCAGATCCAAGAAGCATGTGCAAAGCACTTTGCCAGCCACTCTGGGGTGATGGAGAGATGAGCAAGACAGTCTGGGATCTCTAGGCTCCTATGAGTCATTCATCTATTGAGCCTTTACTATCTGCTAGGCAATGTTCTAGGCATTGGGGATGCAGTAATAAACAAAACATACAAAATTTTTATACTTTCTGGAAGAGGAGACAGACAATAAAAAATACATAAGTAAATGTATAGTAAGCCAGATAGTGATAAATGCTATGAAGGAACTATTGTAATCTAGGCATATGCATGAAACACACATACACACCTCTGATGGTATGTGTTGGTTCAAAGTGCCATGGTATTACAATGGAGGAAGAAATTGATTTTGCATGGAATAATTTGGCAAGTAGTGAGATTTAAGCTGGCCCCTGAAGAATGTTTAGGTCAGGTGAATATTGCTGCTGTGAAGGGAAGCAAGGGAAAAGCGCTCCCTAAGCATCTGAAACATTTCAGCAATGGTCCAGGAGTGAGGAGAGAGGGGGATGCAAAGCACATTCAGGGAGCTGAGTAGCTGATGCCAGCCTCAACAGTGGGTGGGATGGCAGGTGGGACAGGGACCTGAGATGGAAAGTCATGTGGATGTTAAGTGAAGAAAGATTTTTACTGCCAGGCTGAGGAGTATGGGTTGAACTCTGCATGCAGTGGGGAGTTACTGAGTGTTTTGCACAGGGAGTGCCCTGAGCAGATGTGTTTGCAGATGCAAGACTGGCAGAAGAAAGGCTTGTCCATACGCAGGAAGACACCTGGAATGATACTGGCCCTTGTAGCTGGCACCTAGGGCATTGAGGTAAGGACAGTCTTTGGTTTTCATTAGGTAACAGGTGGCATTGTCATATTACTCAGATTATTCAAGATAACAAGCTATATCTGCTTTCCCTAGACATTTGCATTCAAATGTGATCATTCCTTTATTCCCAAGCCACGGATATTCAAGTTCTAGTACAGTAAACTGAGGCTCTGCCAGATAGACTTATCCTCCTTTTATAGCTGTAGTTGAGCAACTTGGGTGCCCCAAAGCTTTATGGATAACTTGTAATTGATTTCCTCCATAAAGCCTCAGTAAGGCCTGCAGTAAGAGGTGCAGCTTGTGTCTTCCTTCTCTTGGCAAATTGCATAGAGATGGTCAGAGAAATTTTGGAAAGAAGTCCACCACCTTCACTCTCCTGCCATTGAAATTTACCTTCATGGTTCATAAATAATGCAGAGCCATAAAGAGAAGAGAAGCAGCAAATATGTTCACATGTTTATTTTACCGTTGATAGGGACAGGAGGGTGAGAAATTCTGGGCAGAAGAGGTCGGGTCCCTGGTGAGGGCTCCACCCTCAAGCCAAAAAGCCCAATCCTGTGGCTCAAAGTGAGAGTTTACATCTCTGTTTTCTGTCTGGAATGCTGACTTTTCCAAAACCACCCATGGCCCACCCTGCCTCCAGTCTTGTGCCCATAAAAACCCCAGGCTCAGCTGTCAGAGGGAGGAGAAGCAGCTGGATGTTGGAGAGAAGCAGCTTGACATCAGAGGGATAGGCTTGACTTCAGAGGGACGGCTTGAAAGCATAGCTTCCCACTCCATCCCCTTTTCAGGTTCCCTTCATCACTTTCGTCAGCAATAAAATCCTCCACATTCACCACTCTTCAATTTGTTCGTGCTACCTGATTTTTCCTGGACACCAAACAAGAGCTCAGTGCCACAGGTGCAGAAAAGAAAGGCTGTCACACTGACCTTCTACCCTTGCTGGTGGAAAGCAACTATCTCACGCAAAAAGGCAGAGGGCCCACTGAGCTGTTTAATACTTAAGCTGTCCATGGACAGCATCACAGGTTCTCCCCACTAGATGCTGCCACGGGGCCCACACAAAGTTTTGCTCCTGCTGGTGCCTGAAAGCACTCACCCCAGTTCCTGCATCCACTCACCTGTGCATTCCCTCCCATGAGGAGCTGAGAGCAATGGGTTCGAGTGAGTGGAGTTCGCCCCTGCCAGTGCCGAAGCAGCCGGCTAACTCCAGTGCCTGCACTCCAGTTCCCACTTGCAAAGGGGTCAGGGAAATTTCCCGCTTCACTGTCATCTCCCCATAGAATTCCCCTTTGCTAACTCAGCCAGAGAAGATACTTGGTTCACCTACATTCACAGAAAAGTATTTTTCATTCCCTTGTTCTTTCTCTTCTTCCACTTTGTCCTTCCTTTAGTCATTCATTCCCTTGCCCCTCCCTTTGTTGCTGTTTATTGTGTCTGGAAGGGAGAAACAGAGATGCTTAAGTAGGGGGTTTTGGATATTTTTTGCCACATGTCCTGTATAATGAGAATCTTTCCTCAAAGCCTTGAGTGAAATATCCATTTCTCAGAAATGCTTTGTGGAGTTGGCTCTGGTCTTTTGGCCAGATTCCCGGTGGGTGTGGGCCTGGAACAGGAGCTGCCCTTGGGGGTCCGCTGCACAGCTGAAGGATGTGCATGAATTCTCTGCCTCCCCACTAAGGCCTGACTAGCCCACAGCTCTTGTTCTTTCCCTAGAGCTTAGTGGTGGAAATTCAAAGCTGGGAGGAGAAGGGCCAGCAAGGAGATGAGTAATAACATGGAAACTCTGAAACTGTGAAGGCTTGCCAGGAGTGAAGGCCTCCAGTTGATTTCCACAGTCCTTTCAGTGAGTCAAATAGAGCACTGGAGATCCCAGAATTGTTATCCTATTTGATTTTACCTGTCTGCCTTCTCACTGTTTATTTAAGGTGTTTTCCCCATAAAAATGCGTGGTAATTAATATATACACATATATTGCTGTAAAATGGCTTCCTGGGCTGGGATGGGGCTGTGCAAAGGGGGAAGCCTAAGAGCCCTCATTAATGAGGACTGACTGGTGCAATCAAAGGTTGTACCCTCAAACTCCAGGGCACTAGTGGAGAGGGTTTGGGCTGTTAGTCACACTCCTTAAAAGCAAAGCAAAACAAAAACAAAGAGAACAAGTGTACTGGCCATTTTGTCCCTTCGGATGGTCTGTGGTAAGGTCAACCTTTTGGAGCATCCCGGGCCATGTGTAAGGCTGCCCCTCAGAAGCAGTGCTGTGGGTGGGTTGGGGGGAACACTTGGAGCCCTGCGTGTGACTCCTGGCTCTCCTCTTTCCAGCTCTGTGACCTTGAGCAAGTCACTCCAGCTCTCTGTGCCTGAGGTCCTCATCTGTAAAATGAGGCCAAGGAGAATCTCTGCTTCACGGGCATGTTGTGAGAATGAAATGAACCAATTCCCATCAAGCCTTTAGAACCACCCGCTCAGGGACTCCACCAAAGATCCTTAGGTACAGCATGTAAATTTAGGTTAAATACCAGAGGGGAGAGGGGAGGCATGGCTTCTTCTTAAAAGGAGAAAGATGGCATGTTCCTGTAGTCGCAACTATTCGAGACGCTGAGGTCTGGGAGTTTGAGGCCAGCTTGGACAACATAGCAAGACTCCTCCATCTCCTTAAAAAAAAGAAAAATTAATTTTTTTAAAAGGAGAAAGAGCTTTCAAACATAGAGGTGATATGAAGAGGGAAAAGCTCTTTAGCATCTATTACTGAAGTAGAGGTGGGGTTCATGGCTCCCACAGACAAAAGCATAGGGGTATGGCTTACCCTTTGTCCTGCAGCAAGGGAGGAGAAGAGAGGGTGCTGGGAGGGATTTATAAGCTGCTTTAATAGTTTCCTTTTCCAGTATAATTGTTCATTTGTGTAAGTTACACTTGCATTTAGAAGAGCCTATATAATATCTAAAGACCAGGAAAGTCATGGCTATACATTTGTAGGGACTTCAGCTTGAACAGGTAACCCGAGTCCCATTTCAAAACGTGCTGCCTGAGTCTAGGGGTGTCACACCTCATATGTAGGGATGACCTTTTGAGAAGTTTAGACACAGCAGCTTTGCCTGGCTCTCGCGCTCTCTCCCCTAACTCTGGCACACACACTCTCCTGGCCCGCATCAGCAGCAGCCTCCAGTGTTGAACACAAAGGACTTTTGTTGTGTGTAATTATTTATAAAGCTGGCCCATGTCTATTATGAATAATCATGATAGTGGGGATGAAGGAGAAAGGTAACTCCACATTTGAAACTACTACAAGGCTATGATTCATTTTTCCTCTCTTTATTAAGAAGCCTATCTCAGATAATTTGCAGCAAAGTTTTACCCTGGAGCAAGTTTCCTCAGTCATGTTAAATTCATGGGGAAAATCCTCCTAGGATTTAGAACTGAAAAATAGCTTTAATAACGGAAACGCTGATGTAAAGAGCAGGGAAAGGCAGCATGTTCTAACCATTTAGGGAAAAAATGGGTAAGATGTTACTAATAAGCTGTGCTATATTTTTATCCTACCGTTTTCTTCATCTGAAGGAATGTGGAGACGAGCTTTTAAATTCTAAATGATTACCTGACAGCTCCCATCTCTAGGGCACATTACTAGCAATGGTTTTATTTTGCTATTACCTTTACTAAAAACTCAGAGGACACATGCTTGGCAGAGCCCAGGCTAGGAAGTAAGATCTATGGACAAGAGAAAAGAGTGCAGTGAACAGAACTGAGGAACCCAGCACTTCTTGATTCCCTTTTATGATCTTTGTGGACACTGACCTTATCAGTAGGGCTGGGAGTAGGGGTTACCAGGGCCTCTAGCACCTTCCTGGATAAGATTCCAACCTAACTCCCCAACCCCATCTCCCATTATTTCATCCCAACCCATCCAACCACATACCCTGTATTTCAGTCATGCCAAACTGCCCACTGGTCCCCAAATATGCTACATTTTTGAACTGGCTCCTTCCACCCACCTTCCCTACCTGGCAAGCTCTGGCTCACCTTCCAAGACTCCTCTCCAATGCAACCTTCCTCCAGAAAACCTTCCAACCTGAAGCAAAGTGAGTGGCAAATCTTCTGCTCTTCCACAGCACCTGATACCTGCTTTGATTGTAGAACTTAGTAGAGTGGAATTATTAGTTTACAGCTTCCACTGCCCTTGGAATCCCAGAGCAGGCAAGAACTACATCTCAGATATCTGTACCATGCAGCCCAGGGTTTCTCAACAGCAGCAATACTGATGTTTTGGGCCAGAAATGTCAATATTCTTTGCTGTAGGGGGTGTTATACTGTACATTTTAGGAGGTTTGGCAGCATTTGGGCCCTCTACCCACTAAATGCCAGTAGTCACCTACCCGCATTGTGACCCTTGAAGAACATCTCCAGACATTGCTCAGTGCTTCCTGGGGGCCAATATTGCCCCTGAACCAGAACCACTGCCCTAGCCCTAACGGAGAGCCTGATATATTCTAGGTATGTAATGTGCACTTGCTGAATTAATAAATCAATGCCCAAGTTAAGGAATAAAAGGCCAAATGAATCAAACGTATAAACTCCTTACTGTAGCTTTCACATACGTATCAAAGCAAAGCTGAAATTTTTATTCCAGCAGTCATGTCTCTTCATGAACTGGCTCTACTTCTGTCCTCTCTTGTACCCTTTGCTCCTCGTCTGTGGGCTCTTTTGCATTCTCATGCTTTCCCTTTCCATCAATCCAAATCCTGTACTTACTTCAAGACAAAGAACAACTTACCCACTTTAAGAAGTCCTCCTCCATTCACTGGCATCCATTCATACAAGAATACATATGTAATATACATATATCTACATATTCATTATGTGTGGTTTTAGAACTGCTTATCTTTTTGTTTCATATAGATACCTTCTTCTCAACTAGAAGAATCACTCCTTGATAGAAAAAAGAGCTTCCCCCTTTAAGTTTTTCTTGCCCTTAGCACTATGGCAAGCTTTATGAACAACAGATGTTTAGCTTTTGCTTAAAGTGTATTTTTTCTCTAAGCAACCGGCAGGTCTGTTCAATCTGTATCATTTGTGTGGTCCTGACATAGTTTTGTTTTTAAGAGGCATAGGGCTAACTCTTTAATATCCTGCAGTTTTTGAATAAATGAATTTCAAGAAGACTCTACAGATATGAATATAAGTAATCTGCAATGTTTTGGAATTTCTATGAGAAGACACTAAATGTGAAAAGCAGTGAAAAAGACAAGAATGATTGTGTTTTTGTCTGAAATTCAGATGGTGCTTAAACTCCACTTAGGTACTTTTCCCCATTGCTTGGTCAGATGGTATTAAAAACTTCAACCTTCCTAATTTATTTTAGGCTCTCCAAACACACAAATATCCCTTGGACCCCTCCTTCAGGCGCACATGCAAACGTGGTGACGTGTGCATGCACTTTTTCTTTTTCTTTTTTCTTTTTTTTTTTGAGATGGAGTCTCACTCTGTCGCCCAGTCCAAAGTGCAGTGGCGCGATCTCGGCTCACTGCAAGCTCTGCCTCCTGGGTTCACACCATTCTCCTGCCTCAGCCTCCTGAGTAGCTGGGACTGCAGGCACCCGCTACCGTGCCTGGCTGATTTTTTGTATTTTTTTTTTTTTAGCAGAGATGGGGTTTCACTGTGTTAGCCAGGATGGTCTTGATCTCCCGACCTCGTGATCCACCCGCCTCGGCCTCCCAAAGTGCTGGGGTTACAGGCGTGAGCCACCGCTGCACTTTTTCTAATGCATGTGTTTGGAAATTTCCCCACACCTGTTCTACGGGGCATACCTTTTTTCTCATATTGTTCTTGGAAGAGCTCATGCTTTTACCCATGCGTGCTCTCCTGTGGGGCGTCTGATCCTTGGTGTTCAATGGCAGAGTTAAGGGGACACTTCCCCCCAGAACTTCCCAGCGTTGCATTCGAGCTCATCCTGTGACAAGATAAATATACAATAAACATACTGGAATGGGGTAGGATGGGAATAACTCCCTTTTTCACTGATTTTTGAAACCCTTAATAAAAAGACCAAAGAATGATTTTGTTCAAGTCTTGTAAATTTTATCTTTGGCAGATCCGCCTGTTGAGTCTTCAGTTTCTCCAGTGTTCCAAAGATCCAGGCTCTCCATTTATTCCTCTTTTGGCCCCTTAGCTGAATCTTCGTTCACCCTCTCTTCTTGAACTCCTGGTCTTAAGCAATCCTCTCGCCTCCCGGCCTCCGAGTAGCTGGAACTACAAGCATGCACCACTGTAGTGCATAGGAGAGGCCCTCCTCTCCTCTATGCCTACACAGGGCCTCCTATTTAAAACCCAAAGTCAAAACACTTCTCGTGGCCCTGCCTTCTCCTATGGTGCCATCTCCTTGACTGACCACTTCCGCATCCTCACCTCACATTTGTACTCAGCTCACTACAATCTGGTAACCTCTTAGTATCCCCTCACTTCTGAAAATGCACCCACTCTTTCTTAAGCCCTGACACTTCCTCATACTGCCACATGTTATGGCTTTCTTGATACTCCCCTCCTTGACCCTGCAGCAGTCCTAACACAGCTGACCGCCTCTTTGCAGCTGTCTCCTGGCTTAGCTTTCTGCCCCTCGTTATCCCTATCCTGTTGTCGGTTCTTTCTCAAATACCTTCATAGTCTCGCTGTTCACTTTAGATGTGGGTCCTTTCAGGGACGCATGCTCAGCTTCATTCTTTCCCTCCTTTCACACTCCTATGGATGACTTCTAAGTTGTCATGTCTTCAAATATCAGTGAAATGTAATGGCCACCAAATGTTTCTCTTTATCTTCATCATCCTCTGGAAGTTCCAACCCACGCTTTCAACTACCTCCAGGTTTGCCCATCACCAAGCATCTCAAATGTGTGGCCAAACCCTGTTGTAATTTCCTTTCTACTTTCAGGACTTGCTCCCTTTTTTGTCCCTCCATTAAAGGCTATCTATTCCAAGTCAGAAACAGGATTTTCATACGACTTGTCTCTCTCAGTAATGCTGACCATATTTCTAAAGTATTTTGACTCTGTCTCATTCTTTTCATGTTGACAGATGGTCAAAATTGAGTTCTCTGCCACTGTTCTCTTTCTGCTCTTGGACTTCTTCTCTGTGCAAGAACCAGATCTGATTGCTACCCCGTCCCAAAAGTTCCTTGTTCTGAAGGCAGTGGAGAACCATGTCCATGTTAAACCTGGAATTCAAGATTCCCCACCACTGTGACTCTACATCACATGTTCCTTCAGAGCCCAATTTCTTACCAGTTCACTGACATGCAGCGGGTGGGCCAGCCCCAGCAGACTGTGCTCCAGCCCTGGCATGGGCTATGCACTTTCTTTTTCCAACTAGAATGTCAAGGATCTGCTCAGATCTTTTATGAAGCACCTTTATCCTTGGCTCCTAAGCACAATGAATCCCTGCCTCCTGTGCCTCCACTGTTCTTCCCTTCTAATTCTATGATGCCACCATGTAATATAGTGGTTTTCATGTTAGTCACTGAGCTTAAGGCGTCCATATGGTCTAGTGGGGTGAATAATATGTAATCTTATCTGTCAGCCTGTCATCCATCCATCCCTCCATCAACTTGGTTAGCATTTTGATACTGGTATGCCCAAGACTCCCTCTGATGCTAGTATTCGTGGATTCTGCATATTATCTAACTTCCGCGCAGAGACAAAAGTACACGTTACAGGCTAAGTACATGATACAGGCATCCAGAATCATTTATGTCTTGATGACTGCTAAATTTCCAGGGCTCAATAACTTAGTAGGTTTCAATAAATGTGTTGAATGAACAAATTAGTTAATTCCTAGAAATTGATGGAAGATTGACTTAGGTTATAGGTACAGTAAAAACAAATACCCCTGCCTCTAATTAAAAAAAATAAATTTACTTCTTCCAATTGCTACAGATAATTATCACTTATATATATTATGTACAATATTCTCTATTCCAAAATGTATTTCTGGAGAAACACAGATGAGCACACACTGGCAAGCATAGAGCAGTTAGGACCTAGCAGGAGTAGACCAGCAGTCCTGCAGGAATACAGCCCGAGCTTCTGTAGCCCGAGGCCCTTACTGCTATGACCCAGGCCACTCCCCTGTCTTGAGCAGGCCACACACCAGCAGCACCAGCTGGGTTGTTAATTGTTAACTTCCAGCTTTGCCACTTCCTTCCTTCTCCAATAGCTTCCAGTACTTGTCCTGATTTTTTCTTTTCATCTGCTTATGTTCATGACCCCATTTTCCCCTACATACCAATCTAACCACCCAAAGACATAAATAAGAGAATAACCTGGTGAAGTGATCTCCATTAGAACCAATACCACAAATATTTTCAAGTTTTCTTGAAAAAAAAAAAAAAAGACTATACTCTCAAGGATCATTTCTATAGTTTGTTACTAAAGAAGTTTCTCTGAATTTGTAGAGCACCGAAATTATTAAAAAAAAAAAATTAAATTCCCGGTAGGAGGAAAGTAGATACTAACTGTGATGTTACCCCTTGCTTATTTCTTTGAAATGAAATAAAACTGGCTTAAATGACAATACACACATCCATGTTTGCTTTAAAGTCTTTATTATCCCGAATATAAAAGACAGAGTCCTCTAGGATATAACAGAGTTCTTTACGTGGAAACATTATTTTTTTACAAGTGAAAAAATAAATACCTCTTGGAATAAAGGCTTATATGCTAATATGTGCCATAAAAAAGTAGAGTTTTAATATTTGACAAAATGTCTGTGCAAAGAAACAAATGCATAAACACATTACTGCTACATTAAGGCAATATGAAAAGTATACTCAGAAATCTCAGTAAAGTGACAGTGTAGGTTTCTAGCTTTACCTTAGCTAGTATTGCACCCGATAAGGTCATCTAGGTCTCCCGACATCCCAGAAAACCTGCTAGCTGACCAGCTTCCAAAATGCCCAAGTGGGAGTGGAAAACATGTTTAAGAAAACAGAAGCAAAAAGAACCAAAACCCCTTCGAAACATACAGAGGGGACAACCCAAAGTTAATACTTAAGCACTTACTTTAAAAAAACACAACAAAACTCCCCCCCCAAAAACAGAAAAGGACACCATATCTAAATACTTATGGTAAGGCTATAAAAGGCTTGAACAGTTCAAGCAAAGCAACACCAGTGGGTGAAGCTGGGATCGAGTGCTTGGGAGAAGTGATGAGTTAACTACCCTCAGTTGTACACCATGAGGCTCCATCTCTCACTCAGCAAGCTCCGCTTTCCCTTCCCAAGGAGAGTGCTCTCTGTTTTCAGTCTGAAATAAAATATTCCACCAGCTCAGAAGGCCCGGGGAGTACTTGACTACTCCACAGTAATCTTATAACAAGATTGGTAGTATTTTATAATCGAAAGGCTTGTGGGGTAGGGATAGGGGGAGCGTAAAGGAATAGGGAGCCACCCACATTGAGTGAGCTGCTTTTTACTAGCCACACTGGTTTAAATCTGACAACATTGTCAACTTTTTAAAAGTCACAGAATTGATTTGTAAACCTGTTTGCCTTCCAATCATTCTTGATCAAGTTATAAAGACAGAAATGACATTAAAACGACAACAATTTACAAAAGACTTTCCTATTAAAAATGGTTGGAGCTCCATGACCATACAAAAAGAATGAAATTCTTAAAAGTAATTCTTACAAAATCTGCTGCCAGTAGGAAACTTACCTCAGGATACATTAAGGAGACTTACAACATCATTTCCTAAAAGGTACCCAACTTTTTGGCTATGTTGCCACTTCACTGACATCAAAGACTTTACCTATTCCTTTACTAGATCATAAAAAAAATCAACATCCAAGGAATGTGTCTGCGTCCCAGAGCTCCTCCTGGTCCCATGACTGGAGTTGTTGATTCTACGCATGGATATGTTTTTGCAGTGAGGAGTAGCTGTGTTATTTTTCTTCCTTTTTTTTTTTTTTAACATCGCATGGCAGATGGGTGTTGGAATAATTACTTTCTCCACAATCTATCATTTTAATAGTTTATAATAGTGCAGTTCATGGAAACATGCCAAGTCCAACAAAAGCACAACAGATTAGATTACAGTCAGATTGAGAAGACTGGTGTGCGTTGGCAGATAGACGTGCTGGACATGCTCCACACGCGACCTGCAGACGGGACATGACTGGGAAAGAAAAGCCAACAGTCTCTGTTAGCATGCAAGCCTCGGTGGGGGGCCTGTGTCTCTGTGCACACCCCTGGTCTCTAGTGCATTTAATTTTCTAAATCAATTGTGATCACAGTGATTTCTAGCTTTCAATTGGTAGAGATCTTTGCCGTCTCACAGGTTGAAAGTTTATACTTTACAAGGGCTTAAAAATAAATACTATGACATAGTATAAACTGAAGGAAATTAATTACATTTTTAGTGAAACGCTAAAGAAGGTACATTGAATAAAGCAATTACTGAAGACGTCTTTCTGTGCAGAATGTGGTCTCTACATGAGTAGACTATAACACTTCAGGCAGCAATGCAGGAGACCCTTCTTGAAATTGTGTGTCCTTAGCTCAGCTGACTGACTCAGGCCAACATTTCTGGGCTGATGCCCACATGGCCAGGGAGGGTGGCTCTGCTTCTAGCCGTAGGTGGCAGCTCCACATTCCTGGCTGACTTCTCAGAAAGCCCGTGCCCATCATCAGCCCTCAGGAGAGACTTAGGGATGAGAGTCAGAATAGGTGGGCAGAAAAAGACAAGCCTATGACTGCTTCTGGGGAAAGGACACAGGGGTCATTTGGTCTTATTAGCTCTGAAATTAGCAGCTTCTGAAGGACTAAGTATTATCTAGAACCAGTTTTACATAAAACCACAGTGACATTTGGCAAACACATCTGAGAAATAAAAACAAATTGAAAAAACTTGTAAGAGGAAATTTAAAATTCTTCTTCATGCAAGAAAGGAAGAAAACTATATGTGAGTTCTCTTTTTCGTGTTAATATTAAAATTAGTTTGACTTGCTAATAAATAACAGCCAACCCATATGCCCTTGAGGCATTTGCAATCATAAAAGGAAATTAATCACCAATATCACAGAGTCAACAACCCATCCATGGATAATTGAGAAGTATTCTTTCCCAAATATCTTAAGTAATAAAGACCATCCTCCTAAGTGTCAGAAAAAGGGAGGCAACTTGAAATAGAGGAAGCAGCCCTGGGCCAGGCCTCAGGAGGCCTGGATTCTTGTCCTCAGGTAAGCCGCTAACTAGATATGTTACCCAGGAATCTCAGCCTCATTTTCAGAACTTGAAAACACTGCATAATTTGGAGTAATTATGTTGTTGAAAATAGTATGCTAATCTAAAATGTTTCTAAAGGGCAATGCCTTTTAGGTCACCAAATACAAAGACCCTTTCCGGGTGAAGATGGGCATTCCCCGTCTGTGCATTAGCGAGCCAGTACCTGGCTCCTACTCCCCGTTAAGAGGAGGGATAGGTGAGGCTGCAGGCAAAAGTGGGCAGCTGACTCCCCTACCTGTAGCTGGGCGGCGCAGCTCTCACAGCACACAGTGTGGCCACAGGGACAGAAGGTGGAGTTGATCTCCTCCTCGCAGCACACCATGCACAGCATGGCTTCCTTCAGCTTGCGTAGCTTCTCCTGCAGCACCCGGGTCTGCTGGCAGCTGAGGCCCTCGCAGCTGCTGCAGTTCATGCTGCTTTCTGAGGACTTCAGAGGCGAGTGTGAAGGGCTCTGGTTGTTTCTTGAAACGAGGTCCACAACGCCAGCATTGTACAGAGCCCTCCTGGCATGGTCATACACCTCCTTTGATGTTCTTTTAATATCAAAGACATATTTCTTGCCAAGGTTAATGTTTTCATTCAGAAACAGAGATGCCAAGTGGCCCTTCAAGTCACGGCTATACTGCATCATCACGGCGCTGGTCACTGTGTCACACCTGCAAGGCAAGATTGAACATCTACTTTAACACCAAAGAGCCTGGCAGCACCCTTATTCGCTGTTGTCAATAAGAACAGAAATGTCAGCAGATGTTTCATAGTCTCGTCTGCATGTATGAAAGTAAGTCCTTCCAGTTTTACGTCTGGTAAATATTCTCAGTGATTACACCTCTGTTTCTCTAACATCTCCTGACATTATGGCTTCCGTAAAGCAGTAAATACAGAGGGCAGTGAGCACGTACCTCCTCCCCAGGACAGACGCTACTGAGTGAAGTTGCTTATGGAAGAAAAAGGGCATCTGCCTGAAGTCTTGGCTTTTAGGTTAGAAATGTCTAAAAATTTCCCATCCTGTTTCACAATTTGTGTATCTATTTTAAAATAAAAAAGTTTAAAGTTGTCTACGACTTAAATTTCTTAGCTTTAATTGTCCAAATACGTGAGTCCAATCACAACTTGGCTTTAAAGTACCCTCTGAAATGAGGGAATCAATATTGCTATTAAAAAATCCTTCCATACACAGTGACGACTCAGGATAGCAGCTCTGCCAGAAAGAAAAGATGATCTGTGCTATCCTTCTCCTGAGCAGTGGAGCAGGCCCAGTCCCTCAGGGTTACCTTTAGGGTAATCAAACTTGGCTTTGAAGCTGAGTCCTAGACTAAGTAAATAATTATCCTCCCAGTTCCCTCATCTTTAACATTAGGGTAATAATAACCCCTTAGGGTTGTTGTATTGATTAAATAGGCATAGAAATCTCCTAACACACTTTGTGTCTAGATTAATGGCATAAGAGAATACGGTAGGAGGTAAGCAGAGAATGTGTTTGTGCAGCTCACACACATGCACCTTCTGTGGGTAAAACAAGACTACATTAATAAGGACTCCACTGCTACTACGGAAACAAAATGTTCAGAATTTCTTAAATTCTGTACTAGACTCATTGACACAACAATCCAAGGAACCGTAGAAACCTGGTTGTCACCTAAAAACCTGAGAGCTGTGGTGCTGAGGTGACCAAGCACACGAGATACGTGCCTGTAGAATGCGTGCGTCTCTGTTATCGCTCGGTAGAGCCCGCTGGCCGCCCTGGTGCTGATCATTTTAAACAAGAGCACGATGCTGTTCCCAGATTCCTTGGTGACCGTCAAATATACATTCTTTCCTGACTGGGTGGCCATCTGCACCACAGGATAAGCTATCCTAAGAGACAGGAAGAGAAAAGAAAGCAGATCTAGAAGGAGTGATTCTTCACCATGTGTGTGCCTTTGTGGGATCCCCATTTGCTCATGACCTAGCAGAAAAATCAGACGCTTCCTCTGGGGTTATCACATCACCATAATGCTGCCTTATTGTAAAGATACAGTGAAAAGCAGTTGGGCATATGTGGAGGGAAGTATGGGAGCAAGTGCTGGGTGTGCGCACATGCATGTCTAGAGCTGAAAACAAGTTTTTTATGGCAGTGAATGGGTTATTTGGAAAACGTTAACTCTGCCACATTGTATACCTTGAATAACATTTAAAATGGTTATTTAGGCCTGAATAAAATTAATGTACATACCAAAATGAAATCTTTCATTCCTAAGAGCTGACTGTCGAGTAAATCCCTTCCTATTTTCTATTACATTGACAGCTACAGATGTATACACATGCTTAGGTCAAAAAAAGTTAAGTCTTGGCTTACCTATTAATTGGGCTAAAGTCATCTTTACAAATTGAGATTCCTTCAGGTCCAACCCCAATGAGCAGTTTCTGCCCTTCGCTATCCCGCACAGAATGCCATTCTATGCCATAGTTTTCCATTGCCGACACAATCTGCAAAACTTGGTATTCAGCTGAAGCCTGGCTGGTCCCCTCCAACTCCTTATGTTTTGCAACAATGCTGGAGGACACCAAGAGGACAGAGAATTAAGTATACAGATATTAGCTTTAGAGATAAACCTATGTAGTCTTCACGAGTGAAATATACTAACACTGATGAATCACAACAACTTAAAACTTATGTATTACTGATGTTTCATGTATTTAGCGAACTTACTATAAAAAACGTCTAAGACACTGGGATCTCAACTATTAAATACTTGGTAAAAACACTTTGGGGATGCTGGATGGGTGATGAATTGGAAGAATTATGGAAAGTCTCTAAAAATATACATAAGTCAAATTTACATATTGGAAAGTCTCATGCATTTGTCCACATATAGTTTATAAGTATAAAGTTGACCCCTGAGGCCCCTGTGGCCAGGGAAGGAGGTAGGCCAACAAACCACAGGAGTCAACCTGGCATGGAGGCCACCCTCAGTCGAGCCTTCAGATGAGACAGAGTTCTACCTGCAGCTTGACTACAGTCTCATGAGCCAGAGGACCCAGCCAAGACATGGCCAGATTCCTGACCTACAGAACTGTGAGACAATTTTTGTTGTTTTATGTCACTAAGTTTTGGGGTAACTTGTTATGCAGGAATAGATAACTAAAATGCCTATGTTAGATCTCCTGGTTTAATTCTTGCTGGGATGAAGAAAACACCAATATACATAATAGATTTTTTATTTTAGGAGATTTGTACTTAAAGGCACAGATTTAAAAAATTCCCATTTTATATAGCATTTCATATTGTGTTTACATATTTTTCAAATAAAAGGCTAACAAATTTTTTGAAAATATTTGGTTAAATTGGGCAATGGCCCAGTCTTAACTTCACAAATTATGTGTATGTACCACAGATTCATCTTCTTTTGGAAATGCTTATACATTTGATAGCTCTATGAATATATGCAGTAGCCCTGATGCTGCCATGTTCATGCTCTGGTGTCTCTGGTCTTGCTGCTCCCTCTGTCCTGATGGCCATTCTTTCTGTCCCCTTGCTTGGATACCCTTTGGTCTGTATCACATGCAAATCCTCTATTCCTCTGGTACAGTATTTGACATAACATGTATATTATGTATGACTTCTTAAGTGCCTCGAACATCAGAGAGCTCAAAAATGTACATAAAACTGCATATTATGTGTGATTAGTTTACCTTCCAACCTTAGTTTCATCCTGTTTAAGCCTATTCTAGTTGTAAACAATACTATATTCAACAGCCTCACCTGTTCAAGGTGGCAGAGGAGAGCTCCTTGGCACAGAGCTCCTCATAGTTATACTTGGCAGTGTTCTGGTTGTAGTCTCCAAACTTGGTCTGGGCCAGGAGGGCACTGAGTTCCACTGCCTGCTCTGGGGAACACAAGAGGTGGCCTGCCAAGAGGGCCTCCTTGATGTGCAAGAAAAAGATATGCCTGCAAAGCAAGGTGAGAGTGAGGTTATGCTTGGGGATAACCTGACATCAATCTCAGCCTACTTAGCAATTTCACAGTCACTTTTAAGGAAAGCAATTTTAAAAGTCACACTGAAAATGCTTAACATTAAAGAACTTCAAAAAAAAATCATCAGTATTAAGGCAAAATCAAAATAAGAACTGCGTTTCTCTGGAATAAAAGTTGTGACCCAAACAAGATAAACTTATTTAACACAAGTTCGGTAACATTAAGGTTACAAAACATAAAATAATTACACATAAGTTTCTGCATTATAGTGTTTTAAAAGAAATTATTTTAATCAGAAAAATTGTATCTTGACATGGATTCTGATAGAATCTTAAGGAACTCTATACATAAAGACAAAATTCTCACCTTTATTCAAATGATACCCCAATCTCTAGTCTCAGTGCCAGCTTCTGTCCTAAGAATCACATGAAAAATGTCCAATCTCCTATAGGCTTCACCACCTGGATGTTCTTCGGTACCTCAATTTTGGCTCATTCAAAACCAAACTCCATATATTCTTTCCCAAGCCCTTTTTCTCCGAATGGAGACCACGGACTGACTTTGGACTCTTTGTCCTATTTCACTTGACTTTCTTCTCTCTGAAAACTATTTAAATCCAGTTCTATCCTCCCATTTGTACCTCCTCAATACTACTTGCAGGAAGAATTTACACTATTCTCTGCGCTGCTCTCCTCCTCCAGACTCCATGCAGGCAGCCTACCTTCCATGCTGCTTGTTTCTAGTATAAACTTGTCATTTCTCTGCTCAAAATCCTTCAAAGGATCTGTACGGCTTGCCAAGGGAGCACGTTGTTAACGTGGAGCTGAGGAGTCTCCGCCATCTGGCCCCAGCTTTCCAGCCACGTCTCCTGTCATTCCCTGCAGCTGCTATGCCCCAGGATAGGGAACGATTCCTCTCCCTGGGAAATCTAGGAAGCATGTTCATGCTCTGGTGTCTCTGGTCTTGCTGCTCCCTCTGTCCTGAGGGCCATTCTTTCTGTCGCCTTGCTTGGATACCCTTTGGTCTGTATCACATGCAAATCCTCTATTCCTCTGGTACAGTATTTGACATAACATGTATATTATGTATGACTTCTTAAGTGCCTCGAACATCAGAGAGCTCCAAAAATGTACATAAAACTGCATATTATGTGTGATTAGTTTACCTTCCAACCTTAGTTTCATCCTGTTTAAGCCCATCCTAGTTGTATACAATACTATATTCTACATTTACTAAAAGGTTATGTCACACTTAAAAACTCCTGTAAAATTCAGATACTGGTCACACTGCCCAAAACTCTGAAGAGCACCTAAACTGCTGTAGACAGATTGGCCTCAGTTATAACAAGTGTCCCTGGCAAATGTGAAGTTTTAACCTTCCTTCGATGACTTGTCATAACCTCTCAAACAAGGCTAATTGCCACATTATTCGTCCCATTAACAAATGAATTGTAACTTTGGCCAGGTGCGATGTCCTCAGCACTGTTTCTGTTTAATAATATATCTGTGTCTGACATTCCAGGTAGAGGAACATGAGCAAGGTAAGAATCGACTAAGGAGGAGGCAGTGAGGCTACAAATCTAAGGAGGTGCTATACTGAGAGTCTACAATGTCTGGCTGACAAGAGCCATTAATCTTATTTTCACTAAGAAGTATTTAAATTCAATGTTTTGTGCATTCTATAATGATAAAGAAATATTTAAAATGATGAAACTCTGCCAAATACTGCAGTTTTTTCTTTTTTTCAAAGCCCGTGTAAAGAAATCATAGTAAGAATGTGTAATAGCCTCAAAGAAGATAAAGATGGTTTTTATTAACCCAAACATCTGCTAATCTTTAAAGTATTTCTGACATACTGCTAAACTGAGAAAGGAGCCCCCACTGGGGCAAAGGAATCACCATGAAAATAATTTGCTGTAAAATAGCTATCTGAGGACTGAGATCCAGCATTCTCAGCAAGCCGTGGTTTACTACACTGTTGCAGGCCTCAAAAGGCTTCTTAGATGACCATTTGATAAACTTCATCTTGGTGAATGTACCCATCTCTGTATTCGACTGGGGTGGAGGTGTGCTGTTAGGAAACTAAAATCTGCATCTATGCTTTCGTTAAAGAAGAAATTACGCTCTGAAAGACTTGAAGAATATTGCCACAAACGAAGTCTTCTTAGTTTAATTACTGCTTATGTAAAAGTGGCCTTTTTTTTTTTTTTTGAGATGGAGTCTTGCTCTGTCGCCCAGGCTGGAGTGCTATGGCACGATCTGGGCTCACTGCAAGCTCCGCCTCCTGGGTTCAAGCGATTCTCCTGCCTCGGCCTCCCGATAGCTACATTAGACCATGCCTGTCTAATTTTTGTATTTTTATTAGAGACGGGGTTTCACCGTGTTAGCCAGGATGGTCTCAATCTCCTGACCTCATGATCTGCCTGCCTCGGCCTCCCAAAGTGCTGGGATTACAGGCAAAAGTGGCTTTTAACTTATTTTTCAGGTGTAAAGTTAGAGACTAGTTCCTGCTTTATTAGATAGTAAGAAGAGTTTTGAATCAATTCCGTGTCTTTTTGCAACCTATCCATGCCTACACTTCCGGAGAGACAGTGGCCAAAATCAAAGGCAAAGAAGCAGTAACAGAATGTAAACAGGTGGCAGGCAGCCTGAGAGCACCACTGATCCTTCTCAGCATATGGGCCAGAATTTAAGAAAAGATCTAGCAAGGGCGATGATTGACCTTTTCGACATACTCCACATTCTAGCCTGGAGTGCAGAGGATGCCTGGTAAGCATGAAAAATCCTTCTCCTTACTGTCAACATCAGCTTTCTGATAGTCCCTTCCTGCATTTTGCAGTTTCATGGCTATAAAGCAACCTTTTCATTTCAAGCCAATAAATATTTGTCTTGCACCGCCTCTGTGCCCAGCCCTAAGCTGGGGTTTTAGGGTAAACATGTCTGAGAGTTCCTTTTTAGATGGACTTACAGCCTTTTACAATAAAGGGACATATCCCATCAAAATAACTCCAGCCACAATCTAGCTTTTGGGTGACAAGTTTATGCTCTCCAGGAGAACAGTACAACAGAGTACTAGTAGCAAAGATCAGCACTCTAATAGGCTCTTTCCAAGACAGAGGATAGCAGAGCTCAGAGACATGTTTCCAACAAGAACTTCAGTGATGGCTCAATATTTATGGGTGGTTTTGAATCAAGTATTTTCTCTTAGTATTTTCCCCTCAAACCATCTGGATTGTAACTATCTGGCTCCTGGGTTTTGCCCCCTCCTTTTTTTTTTTGTAAAGTAGGCAAAATGTTACCAATAATATCAAAACAAGCAGATGTGGTCAAATAAGTTATGCCTGCAGTGAATGCTTTTGCACTAAAGATCAAAAGTAGATGACATATTCAATTCAATAGAGGCTACATCCTAGAATCACAAACAGAAAGAAAGCCTTTGGAAAAAAACTGTTTTCTCTGTCTTAAGGAAATGTCCATGAATACATCCTATGAGCATAAATAAGCTCAAACTGCACCTTTTAAACATTCTTCGGGTTATACCTTCTAATTCATGACTCTTCTTTAAGTTTTACCCAGTTACTAAGAAAACTGATATTTTCAATATATGGATCACATTTTGGGGCCCAAGGCGTAACATTCTGGCTAAACTCATGTCCTGGCATCGTGGGCACAGATGAATTAACATTTACTGAGCATTATAGATTTTTTTTTTAATGGAGTGAATATAAGGATATGCCAAATTTTAATTTTAAAAATGAATCACATATTCTTACTATATTTTTCTTTCAAAGTACTTCAAATTTTCTCTCTTTTAAAAATTAATTCCTTCTTACAATGTTAAGGAATGAAGTTAGATCATTTATCTTTTAAGAGTTGTAATCAGAGAACTTTCCTCTAAACACAGGCTTGTCTCATAAAGCAATTATCTAGGAATCAAAGCAGAACTTCCTGCAAACCAATTGGAAGTTGTTCATCTGCTCATCATAGAGGGTTCCTCTCAGTTACTGCCCTCCAGTTACCTCACCAGTTACACCATTTTTAAGAGCTTTTAATGACAAATGTAAAATAACTATATCCAGATTCATTATTGAACTCAAAATTTAAGAACTAACCTACATCTTTAAAACAGCTAAGCAGCTATTTTTTTCAAATTCTCAATTACCAATAATTGAATTGTATTTCTCCTGGAGAGCCATGACTGACTCTAGCCATAGTGAGTAATGGCTGGTTCTGCTCTCACCTTGTCAGAACCCACGGTGATCATCAGCCAGCCTGCCTCAGTCCAATGAGTCACTTAACCACAGTTTATTTTAAAACAAACTTTGACTGCCAAGTTATATTTAAAAGCTATCAAATCACAACAGAATTGCTATGAGAGTTTTCTGTTTTGTATCTTTAATTTCAGTAAAACACAAATCAGTTCAAGATGGATCACGGGTCTAAATGTAAAAGCTAAAACCGTAACGCTTTAGAAACAAAACTTAAGAGTATCTTCATGACTTCCAGGTAGCAAAGGTTTCTCAGGACATAGCAAAAACCACAAAAGAAGAAAGTGGATAAATTAGGCTTCACCAAAATTAAAAACTTCTACTCATAAAAGGCATCAGAAAAACAGGTAAGCCACAGGAGGAAATACATTTACAAAACATGTATCTGACAAAGGACTGGTATCTAGGGTACATGAAGAATTTGTACAACTCAAAAATAAAAGCAAACAACAAAAATGAGTAAATGACTTGGACACTTTGAAAAAGATACATGAAAGGCCAATAAACACATGAACAAGTGTTTAATATGAATTGTCAGAGAAATGCAAATTAAAACCACAACACTCTACCACTACACACCCACCAGAAAGCTGGCAGGGATGTGGAGGAACTAGACTCTTACATTCTTGCTGGGAGTACAGAATAGCACAGTTGCCAAATAGCTTTGGGAAAAGGTCCGGCAGTTAGTTATAAAATGAAATGATTACTTACTCCATGACCCAGCTATTCCACTCTTAGGTATTTATTTATTCAAGAGAAATGAAAATATGTGTCTACAAAAAAAAGGTACATACTAGAATGTTTATGGCAGCTTTATTCATAATAGCTGGAAAACAGGTGTTCATTATTAGGAGTACGGATAAACAAACACTAGATTCATTCAATGGAATACTATCCAGCAATATAAAAGAACCAACCACTGATATATAGGACAATATGGATGGATCTCAAAAAATCTGTGATGAACAAAAGAAGCCAGATATCAAAGAGTGCATACCACAAGATTCCATATAGATAAGGCCGCACAGGCATAGCTCATCTCTGGTAGAAGAACACATGACAGAGGTGTGGTGTGCGGTGGGTGGGGGTGGGAAAGAAGGGGAGGGGTTGACTGCAGAAGGGCTTCAGGGAACTTTCTGGAGTGATGATAATGTTCTAAATTTTGATAGCAGTTTTATTTAAACAAGCACAGCTGTTTGTCAAAAATCATTAAATGGTATAATTAGGATTTATGTAAATTTTACATCAAAAGAAAAAACTGCAAACATTGAGTTCTAGTTAATGTTATGCATGCTGAAGTATTTACGGGGAAACATACTTATATACAACTTATTTTGAAATGCATCTAAAAATAAGACAGATTGATGGGTGGATAGAGGACTGATAAATGGATGAATATGTAATAAAGCATGTAGAGTAAACTATTAATATTAGAATTTAGTATATATAGTATATACTTAGTATACATACTATAGAGTAGAATATATAGTGTACATGTACACTATATAGAATATATACTGTATATATACACTATATAGAATATATAGCATACATATATATATATATATATATATAGATATATGTATACACACACATATAATGTGTGTATATATACATAGGTGTTCCCTGTAAAAAATCTCCAATTTTCCTGTCTGTTTGAAAATTTTCATAAGTTAAGGAAGTAATACTAGTAAAAATCCCTTAGGGTCAAGGATTCAAGTAACTAGCCATATCTAACGTGAACCACCACATCTATCTACTTCATGGAGGGCTTGCCACTGAGAAACTTGTCACAGCCAAATAATTACCAAGTTAGGTCTCTATGTAGGCTTAAGGAGATCCTTTTCAAAGCCCAAAGTACAAAATGAGAATCACTGATGAAAGTGTTCCTGCTCTAAAGCAGTTAAAAGATGTGGAGGGCAGCAGCTGGGAAAATTTCCAACTTCAAAAGTGATCACAACCCACACCAGAAGAACACTTCTAATTGAAAGCAGAAAATCTGCACTTCTAAAAAAATGTGCTTATTCACTCACAGTAGATCCCCATCCTAGGCAAACACCAATCTAGGCAGCCCTGAAATCTGAAAATGTTAACTACAATCTCTTTCCCAACAATATAGATCAGCCAAGGAGTGCTTTTTGGTACATTCATTCCATGAGGCCAGGAAGGTTCAGGAATTTTCAGACCTCATCATCTTTTTAACTGCCTTCACATTCTGAGTTACTTGCTAGGTCCTGCTGCTGGTACAGAAGAGGGCTGGGAACAGGCCACAGTGGGACACCATTCAGAGGAAACACACCTAGTGTCCCTACAGCTGCTCAACACTGGTCACCTTGAGTCTGACCCTAGGTGCCTTCTAAATGCTCAGATTTAATTTTACATGTCGTTTTAAAAACCTTCCTTGAATATTTCATACAAATATATAAGTACCAGAAATTCAAAAAGGGCCTAAAGATACCCAGACAGGCGTTCCTTGGCTGAAATAAACACATATAATAACACAAACATCCTATAGCCTTAACAAAAGAAAAAATTATATCAGAAATTTAAAATTTGATTAAATACTTTCTTTGGAAATAACCACATGCCTGCTTTTACTGTTTTTACTTTCCAGGGCCTATTTTGTGTTTGGGCATGCAATCTTTCCCAGATTTCCACATGTCTAAAAGTGATTTTTGTTGGAAGACAGGGAAATACTTAGTTAATATGTACTTAGGACTATAAATGGGTTGCAGTTAAAGTGATGCTATAACTTGAAAACTATCTGACTTTCATAGACGGCCCAGATAAGTGGTAGTTTCTTTTAGGAAAGAACTAATAGCCACAATAAACACATGGTCTAGGATGGTGTAGAGGGGGTGAAAGAAAGGAAGCAAAAGAATGTGAGGAAGCTCTAAGTTAAGTTCAAACAGAAAATAATCACTACAAAACATTTTTGAAATGGTGAGATTTCTTTTAGATACTCTCAACTTTTCAGTTTATAAAAGCAAAGTGAAAAACATCTCAAAATCTATTAGGAAAGCTTATATTAGTAGTTATCAGTTAACCCCATTTTTGTTTACTTCCAAGTTCTTAATTCTATGATTCAACAAATATGCAACAGACACTTATTAGACTCTGGGGATACAATGTTGATAAGCTCCCTGTTTAATGGAGTTTAGGTTATTAGAGTGACTGATAATAAACAAATTACCACGTAAGTATATGTAGTATTATAAGCTCATTAAATGCTATAAAGGAAAGATACATGATGTCTTGGGGGAGTTTAGTCTCCCAAGCAAGGCTAGGGAAACTTTTCTGAGGGCTGAGGATGGGGCTGAGGTCAGAAAGGTAGGACAGATTTAACAAGGGACGAGTCAGAGTCAAACTCATCACTGCCAGCATCACTGAAATCTGGATGAAATTTAACATCCAGGATTAGAGCATTTCTGTGAACATTTAGTCTGGGACTCACGGAGCTCTTGGAATGGGGTTGTTTTCTGGAAAAGAGAATCCATGTGTTGGTGAGCCTTACCTAAGCAAAACGTCTCCTAGCAAAGACTTCAGAGCTCTGCTAAAACGTGGCTAAGTCGGGAGCAAAATATAGATTTTATTGGCAGTGGATGGTATAATTACCATTGTGAAGATGAAGCATATACTTCTCTAATCTCTGGTTTTGGAAATGTTGACAAAATCCAGTCAGAATTGCAGTAAACTCAAAGCCTTTGAAAGGCAAGAATTTCCAAGATGATTATTATTTCAGATCTACTTCCAGAATACATTAATTTGTTTCACTATTCATTTTATTCCATGGCATCACAAACATCTGCTGAAAATAACCTGCTGTCTCCATCTCTGAAATATGCCAGCTGAAAAGTAAAAGACTCTCCTTTTACATTTGAGGCTCATATTCAAGAGCAAAGCATAATCTAGATAGAAGAATCAAATCTAAAATTAGGCCAAATCAGAACTCTACCTACCAATCTAAGCAAACACTTGATGTGCTTTTTCTGTTTTCAGAGACACATATTTAGGAAAACATTAAGGAAAATAATATAAAGAGGACACAAAAGCAATGAAAAAAGTTATTGCTAAGAGAAATTTAGAAACCATCTCTTCAGAGGCCTTCAAGTAGGATGTAGAGCTGGGCCCATAGCAGTCTGGATGGCTGGTAGTTGGTGGCAGAGCTGAAACTACAATACAGGGCTTCTGCCTGGTTCCCTGGTGCTGTCCTATGACAAACAGGCCTTCCTGCCCATCATTCTCACAAGGGCCTCCCTAATCTGATATGAACTAATAAGTTAACTGCCCTTCCCAACTTGGCTACCTTAATTGTCCCCAGAGGACAACTCTGCCAGGATATTTCAGCATCATTTAATAAACTGTCTAGATACTTTCAGTATACTACACTACATGCACCCTCATGATTTAGAAAAGAATAAAAAAATCACCTTTCATAACTGGATTGTCAAAGCTAAATTTACTCACTACATAAACAGACCTATTTTATATTCATGGCATTTTATATAAGTATTTTACAACAAATAATTAAACATCAAAGAAGTTTACGAACCAGCTTCATTTGCTAGCATTTGTAAACATACATATTTTTGTTCTATAGTTTCATGCATGTAAAAACAATGCTAATTGTAAACTGGACCCAGTACAGCTTCTGATGTCCTAATTAAGAGGTACAAATGCTAATTACAAATCACTTTATCTAGTTATTAAAACTTAAGTGTCAGTTATGTATTTCAGCCAACCCCATGAAACCAAGTAAAATTCACCAACATATTAAAAGCAAGTTAAAAGTTAAGGTCACACTTAACTTTTCCATACAATTTCAAAAAGAATTAAAATCAATTAAAATTACCTAGTTGAACTAGGTATGTACATTCTTTGAGTACTATTATGAATCTCAAGAGTCCAAGTCAATTGAATCAATAAAGGAGAGACCAAGACAGGAAATTTGATTCAAGTTCTAATTCATAAAATGTCTCTATTTCTTACATGAATAAAATTGATTTGATAATAGTTACTAACCCAATTACAGGAAAGCACAGGTAGAGACCATCTACTAGTCAATTATAAAGTCTGAATACATTCATAAAACAAATGTATTATGCTATTATCACTGCAGCCATTGTTTAAATGCAGTTATTTGGTACTCCAAGCTTCTGAAGATTTAAAAAATAATTTTGTGCCATCAAAACTGGGTTGCATCTAGAGATCTTGAAATAATTACAAAATCATAATAGGACTACACAATGAAAATTCCAATATGTTGTGTTATATCTTGTATTCGACTGCAAGTTATGACAGTGAAGCGCAAAGCTTTCACAAATCGGCTTTAAATAATAATTTTAAAAAGTCTATTCTGATTAATACAGACAGCTAAAACATCCTTAAGCATGCAATCACTTGAATATTTTGCAAGATATTTTCAGGAGTACCAAGAACTCAATATACCATCTTCATTCAGAAACAAAATTAAACGTCTGCCTCAACCTTTAAAGCTCGATTACAAGGCAAAGTGGAAATTTCAAATTCAAATGATAAGTATTTCAAAATGAGTCTTTATCAGTCCTTTGGTAAAACAAACAAGCAAATGTCATGTAAAAAACTCTTAAAGGATAATGCTCATTCATCATTACTTAAAATTTTTAGAATCACATTTTTCATATGCATGGCAAATTTCTCAGCCAAAGAATTATGAAAAACATTAGAACTTAGATCCAAAGCTTGCTATGTCTTCAAAGTAGCTGTTTTCCTTTTTAATTTTTTGATATGCCACTGTAAGATTGAAGTCTCCTGCCTTTCAATAAATATTAAATATCAATTTCCTAGTTTGGCTCATTCTTGAGAATCAAGTATTAGAGTCAGTCCAGGGGAGAACATATTTTGTTTGAAAAATGAGACCACATGCTTCAGTTGTCTACCACTGTTGGTGGTGTTTTACAACGTAGAGAGATAAATTCAATCTATACTCACCAATCGTGTGTAACATATCTGTGGGTTGGAATTCAGTTACAGTAGCCTTAGAAGAGTTCATGAAATTACATTTTCAAGAAACTTAAAAACTTTAAAAATTCTGCATGAAGTCAAACAGAGCTCTTGGCTGCACACTGTAATCTGACACTAGGCTGAAGAAACTGACCAAGTTTAAGTAACCCAAGAGGAACTGTTTCCTGCTTTCTGTTAGAACAGTCTGCAATGACCTATAGTAACACTGCTGAGGCAGAGGTTACTATCGGGCATTAGATGCTGCTATCAGGAAGTCAGTCACTCGGGTAGGGTGGTTTCTTTTTTTTTTTTTTTTTTTCCTGGGGTAGCACTTATCTCAAGTGTTTGTAAGAATTCAACCCTGCTCACCCATCAAGTTTATAAAGACAAGAAAAACTAAAAGAAGGATTGGAAAATGCACTCAGACCAAGTAGGTAGCTCCCCCTCCACCTCAACAAAAGGACCTGCATGGAAAACCTAAGTTAAGATGGAACTCCGCATCAAAACAAACTTGCCTGTGAGTATCTCTGGGAAGGTGCAGCGGCCCTTCTAAAGGGAACCAAAGGTCAATTTGACATTGGTTTATTTTAGCTCACTTTACCTAGTCTGCTCCTGTAAGATGAGATGAGGCTCCACGAAGAACTTGACTCTAAGTTTAAGCCTGTAAGGGGCTAGCCCATCCATCTGCTGGGAGATCCGGTTTCTCAGGTTTAGCCATAAACTTTCACCTTTGCTACCCGTAAACTGCAGTCCAAAATAGTCAACTTCTATGATTCCCAGTCGCCTGCACACCTAAAACAAAAAGGAATGCAGCCTGGATGAGCAAATGGTACGTATCAAAGCAAACCCAACGGCTCCCTGAGGCTAAGATTGCTGGTGCTTTTTACAAAGTTCAATGGTGTTACAATTCCTGATCTAAACTGGAAAAACAAAGTTCCACGGCTCCAATGATACCAAACCACGAGCTCTAGTATGGAGGCTCATAATTCCTTTTAACGTCTAGGGCATGACCAATTGCAATAGAGAAAAAAGGAGTCCTCAAAAGTAGCCTTCCAAAAGATGAGGAGGGGAAACTACAGGGTATTTTCCTTCGTATTCCAATCACCGGAATTCCCTCCACCAGCATACTCTGCACAGCTGATTTTTGGCGACTTATTATCTGGGCAATTTTAACCATTTGGACTCCAAAAATCAAACACATTGAGGGAACACGCCACAAGTGTCAGCTAAGCTTCACAAGCGGTTTTCCAAACATCTCAGAGCTAGAGGGGTTGAGGGCACAGCGTTTTCCTGGGATCACATGTGCTGTCTGCCATACCACCTCTGCACTATTTGGCACCGATCTCCCTCACTGTTAAGGAAACACATGCTTAAAAACAACCGAGCAGTAGATGACCCAAACCTATTCCTCCCGTCCCCCGCAAACCCGGAGATGCAGGTGAACGGTGCATTTGAGAGCAGCAGCCTGAGAAGCAGCGTGAGACAAGGGCCCGGCTTGTCTGCCAAGAACCCCTGGGGCCCGAGACTGCTTCGAGCCACTCCATCCCATCCTGGCACGCGGGTGGCACTGCCAGGCGCCGCGGGGACCCGACAGGCGGCATCACGCACATACCTGCGGCAGGTGTGCGGAGCCGCCTTCTTCCGGGAAAGTGCTGGGTTGGGGGGATGATGGGGCGCTGGGGGGTGGATCCCGGCTGCGGGCTGCGCCCGGCCCTCAGCGCTGGGGACCCCCGCTGCGCGCTTTCTCCGCGCACCCCACGCGCGCCAGGAGGAGACCGCGCGCCCCACGCCCGTGGAGAGGAGGGGACGCGCTCCCCCCGGCTGCCGCCGCAGTGCCTCCCGGCCCCTAGTAGGGGGCGCGCCAGAGTGCCAGGCGTCGCTGCGAGGCCCCTCGGCCTCGCGGGACCCGCCGGGGCCCCTTCTTGCCCCTCGCCCTCACCTGGTTGAGGCAGTCCTCGCCGTTGGCTTTCGCCTCCACCTCCACCTCCATCAGCACCGCGTCCGGCCTCGTCACATAACACAGCATGGCTGGGGCTGCCGCTGCCGCCACAGCCGCCTTCTCTTTGGTGTGCGCGGGGCTGCCGCCTTGTCACTGGTGGGACCCAGCCCCGGACTCGGAGAGGGCTGGCCCTCGAAGGCTGCAGCTCTGCGGACCCTTGTCCGGGGCCCCGCGGCCGCCACTCGCGTCCCCGCCACCCCCTCACCCGCTGCCCGCCAGCTGCCCCTGTCCTCCGCGGTGGCGCCGCACTCCAGCAGCCCAACTGCCTGCGCTGCGACAGGGACTCTGCTGATATAGCGGCCCCGCCCCCTTCAGCTCGGGTCCCCGCCAATCACGGCCTCCCTGCCCCTCCTCCCCCGCCCGATCAGCCAATAGCGGCGCCCCTCGACCGCGGCCCCCGCCTCCCAGAGCCGGCTGAGTTTCCCTGGCCGCCCCGGGAGGTGGCAGCTTGCGGGCGCCGAGTGCTGCGGGAAGGGAGGGAGACCCCGGAACACACCAGCCGCCTCTGTCCGCTGGGCGACGCTGCTCAGAGTGAGCGATCGCCCGGGGCTCCAGGCGGGGACGCCTTTCTGCCGTCTCGAATTTACGGTGATTAAACACCTCCAAGCTGCCACTGTTCTTCAAATATCTTGGATCACTCTGAGCACGCATTTCGGTTGTGAAAGCAAAAAGGAAAAGGAGCAACCCAAAGCCTAAAGAAAACTGTTCTCGTCCGGGCATGGTGGCTCACGCCTGTAATCCCAGCACTTTGGGAGGCCGAGATGGGTGGATCACCTGAGGTCAGATTCGAGACCAGCCTGGCAAACATGGTGAAACCCCCGTCTCTACTAAAAATACAAAAAAAAAAACAAAATAGCCAGGCGTGGTGGCGGGCACCTGTAATCCCAGCTACCTGGGAGGCTGAGGCAGGAGAATCGCTTGAACCCAGGAGGCGGAGGTTGCAGTGAGCTGAGATTGTGTCACTGCACTGTAGCTTGGGCAAGAAGAGCAAAAAACCCTGTCTCAAAAAAAAAAAAAAAAAAAAAAAAAAAAAGAAAAGAAAAAGAAAAAAGAAAAAAAAAAGAGAAAAAGAAAACTCTTTTCCACCAGGATTAGCCACAGTGGGTTGCTTGGAGGCAGAATTGTTGTTCCTTATTAAGACCTCATCATTGAGAAAAACAAAATCTGAGTATGAAAGTTTTTGCAGCTGACCAGTGAGCCAGGTGTCTTGGTCTAGTGCTGGTGTGTTACACTCCGGAAGGGCTTCTCCTTACTCGTTCTGCTGAATCAAAACGCCTTACAGGGTACCAGGCCCTCTCTCAGGTTGCTCATTCTACCTCCTGTCTTATCTCACTCATTCATTAAACATTTGTGCAGCACCTGATACCCTGCCTGTCCCTTCTCACAGGCAACCAGATGTTGTCCTCGTCTTAAGGTAAGGTGCTCATCTCCTGACCTAACAGGTGGCATTACTGCAATATTAGCTATTAAAGGTCTACAACCCTTCACTCATTTACCGCTTGTTCCTCTTTGCCAATATATTACATAGCCTACCTTTTTGATTTCTTTATAGGAGCCAGATGATGTGGGTTTCAGCCGTGGAAACTTAGCAAACTTACTTCAGGCCAGCTCGATGGCTCACACCTGTAATCCCAGCACTTTTGGAGGCCGAGGCAGGAGGATCGCCTGAGCCCAGCAGTTTGAGACCAGCCCGGTTTCGCAACACAGCGAAACCCCATCTCTACACAAAATACAAAAAATTAGCCAGGCGTGGTGGCGCCTGCCTGTAGTCTCAGCTACATGGGAGGCTGAGGTGGGAGGATCACTTGAGCCTGGGAGTTCGAGGCTGCAGTGTGCTGTGATCCCCCTACTGCACTCCAGCCTAGGCGACAGAGCAAAAGACCCTGTCTCTAAACAACAACAACAACAAAAAGAAAACAACGAAAGAAAAAAAAAGAGAAAACTTACTTCATCTGTCTGAAGCTTGGTGTTGTCAACAGTAAAATGGAGATGGCAATATCTGCTCTGTCTCCACCCAGCATTGTTGGGAAGCGCAGCAAAGATAATAACGTTCACAAAAGCATTTGAATGTCCCCGTGTATGTAAGGGGAGCTATAAGTTCAGTGCCTTCACTGCTTAATGATGACTTTTCCTGTCCCTACCCCCCTTCACGAGTCCCAAGGATCTGTTAGTGGCCTTTATTTCCGAACAACCAGGTACGATATCAGAGCCCAAGGCTAAAAAAAAAGGAGGGATCCTCCCACACACAGTTCTTTGCTAAAGCTGACCGAGTAAAACTGTAAACTGTCCAAGTCCTAACCCCCACTGTTGCAGAGGAACAGGTGCACTCTCACATCTTTCTGTCTTATAAATACACCTCATGCTATTGTGGGCTGAAACAGTCCCTTCTTGTATTAACTGCAGTGCCTATTCCCTGAATTCCAGTTTACTAATAATCTGGGGAATTTATCTGGAAGATAGCGTTTGGTTCATTCCTTGTCTACTTTATGCTTAATTGCTAGAAGTTTCAGAAGAGGAAGAAGAGGCGAGGGGCAATAGGGAGACCAGTTATATTGGTTAGTATTTTTGTTTATGAACAATAGAAACTAAAGCTGGCTAACTGGAAACTCATAGAATCAATGGGACCAGGTGTGGAAATGAGTAGAACGGGAAAATATTGGTTGGCCAAGAAAAAAAAAATAAACAAAAATAAAACAAGCAAACACCCAAACCAAATACCCACTTTGTGGACTACTTTAAAAATAACTTATATTTTTGGTTTTAGCAGGGATTTTTCTTTTGCAAGTATGATTTCATTGTTTTTTTAAAAAATCTAAGCTTGTAAAATAGTTTGTAGAAGCATAGGTAAAATCTGACATGTTTATTTTATTTAAAACTTTTTGGCCAGGCGTGGTGGCTCATGCCTGTCATCCCAGAGCCCTGGGAGGCCGAGGCAGGCAGATCCCTTGAGCCCAGGAGTTTGAGATCAGCCTGAGCAAAATGGCAAAACCCCATCTCTACTAAAAATATAAAAAATTAGCCAGGCATGATGGCATGTGTCTGTAGTCCCAGATACTCAGCGTGCTGAGGTGGGAGGATGGCTTGAGTCCAGAAAGTCCAGGCTTCAGTCAATCATGATCTCACCACTGCACTCCAGCTTGGCCGAAGGGAGTGAGACCCTTTCTCAAACAAAACAAAAAACAAACAAAACCCCACATTTTTCATAGTTTTGTTGTTGTTGTTGTTGTTGTTTAGACAGAGTTTTGTTCTTGTTGCCCAGGCTGGAGTGCAATGGCATGATCTTGGCTCACTGTAGCCTCCGACTCCCTGGTTCAAGCAATTCTCCTACCTTAGCCTCCCGAGTAGCTGGGATTATAGGCACGCGCCCCCACACCCGGCTAATTTTTTGCTTTTTTAGTAGAGACAGGGTTTTGCTATGTTGGTCAGGCTGGTCTCGAACTCCTGACCTCAAGTGATCTGCCCGCCTTGGCCTCCCAAAGTGCTGGGATTACAAGTGTGAGCCACCGCCCCGACCTATTTTTAACAATTGTCATTTGCACAATAGTTGGAAGTAGAAGATTTACAAGAATTTTTTTTTTTTAATTTTTTTTCAGAGACAGAGTCTTGCTCTGTTGCCAGACTAGAGGGCAGGCAGTGATGTGAAAATAGCTCACTGCGGCCTTGAACTCCTGGGCTCAAGCAGTCTTCCCGCATCAGCCTCCAGCGTAGCTGGGACCACAAGCAGGTGCCACGACACCCAGTTAATTTTTGTATTTTTTTGTAGAGATGGGTGTCTCGCTATGTTGCTCAGGTTGGTCTCAAACTCCCGGGCTCAAGCGACCCTCCTGCCTCTGCCTCCCAAAGAGTTGGGATTACAGGTGTGAGCCACTGTGCTCGTGACAGGGATATTTCTAATCCAAACCCAGATAGTGCTTCTGCTATAGGATGGTTGGTGAAGATTTCAATTGTTTTGAAATTAAGAATCCCCAGATAAGACTGAAGAGAAGGATTTCTTAAAACAAAAACAAAGCTAAAAATAGGAAAATGGCACTTGGGGGTGGGAGGGGCGGGCAGTAAGAAATCCTTATGACTGGGAAGCAAAAAAAAAAAAAAAAAAAAATACTGGCTTCCCACTAGCATGTATGGAATATACTGGACCATGACCCCTCTCTCTCCTCGCTTTCTCTCTCTGTCTTTTCTCTCCATCTCTGTTTTGTAATTTATTCCTTGAGTAGAGCTAAGGAGAGACTGGTTAGTTACAGAATGAGGAGGCTGAGTGAGCTGGTGAGAAAGCACATTATGCTCAAAAGACCTGGTTAGGGAATAGAAAACCCGCAGTAGAATTACTTCCTCGAGGATTCCACCATCTGCTAATGCTGCTGAATGTCTGGAGCCAGTTTCAAGCCCCAGCTGGGTCTAACTCCAAATAAGAGACTCTGAACACCCAGGGTGGGAACTATATTAGATTGAGCAGTGATTGAAGCCAGAGAGATGCCCAAGTTATCTGTGTCTGCTCTCTTTTTCTCTCAATTAGCTCTCATCTTTTAAAGATAGCATTAAAATTAACCAGCATAGTGGAAAAAAAAAGGTCAGCTGTATGAATATAGAATTTAAAAATAGAAACCATAACTAGGCGGTAGAGTTGGCTAACCCAGTGGAGTTCTAGCTGTTCAGACACACCCAAGCACCACAGATTTTCTCTGTCTCACATACTAGGGCTCAAGACTGAGCACTAGATGGTATTTGTGTGGATGTGATGATCATTTGGCTGCAAAATCTTCCTTCTAATTGAGCACTGGGTCTGATCTGGATGGCTGGGTACCTATCTCTGTGCATTGCATTCTCAACACTGCGTGCACTGCTGCAGAAACCCTATGCTGGGTCTCCAGAGAAGGACAGCCTTCATCACCTGCCACACCCTTCTCTCTGCCTCTCAACGTTCATTTGTAGAAGCACTGAGGGAAGAACAATTAGTGACTGCCTAAGAAAACCGTCATTTTGCTTTCACACATTATTCAAGCTAATGGTTCACATAAGTAACACTTCATCAAGCACAAGTATGTTAGAATATGTCAAATGAGCTGAAATCTCTCATTTGAAATATTAGGCTTGTGAAATTCAGGAGTAGTTTAATTTGATCCTGGCCTACCATCAAACCAGAACATCTCATTTCTGAAACTGGCTGTTTGAAGAGAAAAAGAAGGAATGAAGCAGGAATAGGCAGCACTCATGTTAAAAACTCTGGGAGATCTGAAACGGCATTGTTTTAATTAGCAGGCAGTTAAAAAAATTCTAGTTATGAGAGTTACTGTTCATTGCAGAATACTTGGAAAAGACAGAAAAGTATAAGGCAAAAAATGAAGTACCTATAATTTTATCAGACATTTCTATTTAGTATTGATGTTTCACTGTTATATTTTGCATATGATGGGCTCTAAATATTGACCATGTTATAATCAAATACTGCATGTTAATTTCCAGAAATATATTAAGAGAGCAAGAGAGACTTGGATGCAGAGTTCCAAATCTACACCTGGTATTATGACTATTAGGAAAGTTATAACCAGAAAGAACAACAACCACACAAAAATAATTCCAACTGTTACTGTTTCTCAGTTCTCTTCTTTTCTTCTCTGGACTACTAACCTTTCTTACGTTTGTCTTCTTTCTCACTACTAAGATGCCCCGAAAGGTCACATTTTGTGATATACTTACTTGTTCAGCATACGTCACTTCATTGAGAGATGCTCAGAGCTGGGAGAAAATTTCCAACTTGGTACATTTTGTTTAACAACAATGTTTTTGATGCCTATCTTTTACTTATGGAAATGATCAATAGGCATGTGTTTTTGAGTTACTTATCAAGGGTAGTGATACATAGGTGCTGATCCACACACAGCAGAGTTCACCATCATTCTAGTTTTGAATGAGGTTGGGGACTCACTGATGCTAGGGATGCAGTTGGAAGCCACAGAATAGAGAATAGACAACCAACCTGCCTGAGGCTCCAACTCAAGCCTGAACCTCAGTTGATGAGTTAACAGGTTTTTCCAAGGTTAACATTAATAGATATGCATTTGAACTTGTCCACGATATAGAAAATGCATTGAGATGTGAAACGTGTGAGAGTACACAAAAATTTCTGTCTTCCTGAATGAAATTAAAAACCAGATCTTCCAAGGTGGGAGATAAGAGGTAAACATTCCATGTAGTTTGGGCAGCTGGACATTTCACCTTTCTCTAGAATTACTCTCTTGGAATTACTATTTAATACTATTGCCTCTGCACTGGCCTTGTGGGGTGGGTGGGGAGGGTAGTTTCTACTTTCTTTAAAACTCAGACCCAAGTGAGATACCTGAGGTCTTTCCCACCTTACTCTGTCAAGAGCTAAGACTAAGGAATTACCAAGGGCAACTACACAAAAACTAGGTAGGTCAATGAGAGATTTGGTTTGTTCTCTGGGCTTCAAGGTACCTATCTGCCTCAACTCCTAGTGGGCACCGACTTTACACCAACCACTGAGGAGCACATGCTTGGACTCCTGTTCTCCAGCAAATCTGAACCCAAGAAAGAGCAGAATCTCTTGCTTTTGGCAACCTGAGAAATATCCACAGCCTGTACCTAATCTTTGCTGTGTTCCTGAGCTCTGAGAACAGAAATGTCTGTTTTAGAGGGAAGCATAGTACTGAGGTCTGGACATCAGTGTAGGTAGGGAGGAACCAGTCTGCTTCTCCTTACCCTGGAATGCCTATGGCTTCCCATGCAATCTTGTCCATGAATTCTGAACCAGGTGAGAGAAGAGGGGAGGAGTGGAGAAACAGAGGAAAACATTTGATAGAGGGTGCTAGATATGAATAGCCATTGAGAGATTGCCAGGAAGATAGGAGACCTTCATTTTCAAATCATTTTTAAATAATCAGAATTTCAGAGAACACAGCAAGGACACAACATTGAATAACTGAAGGAGGGTGAGGTTTGCATACCAAGTGCTATAAACTATGCCAATGTCAGTAGCAGTAAAAAAGCTGGGCAGAGACAATGTAACTGAACTTTAATGAGAAGATGCCTCATCCTAAAACACTCATAGTTTTTATCTTGTTTTCTATCTTGATCAAAAGCTTGTCACTTTCACAACATACATCACTGGTTGATTTAGCATACCCTTGGTATATCTATAACATTTCTAACAGTTGTTGCTTTTTCTCTGGAAAGTTGGGGCTACCAATGGCAGATGTAAGGAAGACAAACACCAAATCTCTTGATCTTGGGGTCTAATTTAGATGGAAAGACTTGTAACACAAAGTTTTAATTCACTTTTTCGTAATAAATTATGTCAAATACATACTCATGAAATCAAGATTCCACCCGGGTGTATATCACTGTTCTTGTCATGATAAAGATATTTTGATTTATCATAGATGTCCAAGGAAGGTCTTAGATACAGGATTGTGATAGATTAAAAATAAGCATCACTTACATTTCTAGGCATTTGGAGAAAAACCAAATCCTCCTCTCCCTTTTTAAGCTCCACTTTAGTCAATAAGAGGTCTTTCTCAGATTGTAGTTGTTTTTAACCAGCTTCAAATATATATTTTAAAAATCTCATCTAGCTGTGAAAATGTTTTCTTGAAAAATGGCAAGCCAAAAATGGTATATATATGCAAAGTATAAAAAGAGATAACGAGGCAAAAATACTTAGAAAAGTGATATTCAAATGTACAGTGGAAGAAAAGTGATATTCAAATGTACAGTGGAAAAATGATATGATTCCTTTAAATTGCTTGCCTATGTTACCTTTGTCATCCATTTGACATCCTGCTGTGTAAATCAATTTTCTTAGGAGACAATTCTTGCTAGCAGATGACTGATGGGATGTGCTGCTCCCTCATGCACTCTTGCTGTTTTCTAGGCAAGATCTAAATTCATGGTCATATAAGAGGCTTTTAGATCTGGAATCCTATTTGAAGATCATAAGGACAAGAGGTTAGAGACTTATGCTTTGATTTGTTGCGCCACGCTTTCCCCCCATCAAATTCCAATTACACGGGTTGCAAGTCAACTTTGTTAAGAGTCGGCCATTTTGCCTTGGCCTAATCTTCACGTTGCAGGTTTCTCAGAGCTATGCAAGCCTTCAGTGGATGCTGTCCCCAAAAGAAGTAAACTACAAAAGGAGCTCACTAGTCACTATTCCATCCCTCATCCACTGGGACTATTTGATTCCTCTGGCTTAAATAACCTTTCTATCTTCTTTAATAATGAGACTGTGGTCAGTTGAGGACATTGCCTGGCTGCCTCTCAGCTCTCCCGTTTGTGTTTCTGTTTGCAGCTCTCCTGCCCGACTACTGTGGCAATGAAGTGTCACATTGACTCAATGGCAGGAAAAATATGTAAGCAGCACGTAAGCGAGTCCTGTGTAGATGTTTTCAAATACTCCAGCCCTAAGGGAATAGGCACCTACTTCAAAGCACTGTCAGCCTTTGTCCCCATGTTTTACCCAAGAGCAAGCAGGCCTCTGAGGAAACAGCAGCTGGGGGCTCAACAACCCCCTCACTCATCAAAAATCATCTAAGAAAAGAACGGATTGCAGACAGAACCTGCCCGAGGTGCTGATGGAGCTGGCAGAGACTTTAGGGTCATGTCTTATCTCCTCCTCTCCCTCACTGCTTCACTGCTGAATAAAGTTTTAACAACCAGCAGAATATTATTACAAGAATATTAAATGCACACCAAATCTATACAGAAAAATAACGCAGAAGGACATACA